>NC_000005.10:119806776-120109807 GCF_000001405.40 Homo sapiens | reverse complement strand
CCCAAAGTTCATTGTATAATTCTTATGCCTTTGTTAACCGACAGCTTAGCTCCCACATATCAGTGAGAACATACAATATTTGGTTTTCCATTCCTGAGTTACTTCACTTAGAATAACAGTCTCCAATCTCATGCTGGTCACTGCAAATGCCATTAATTCATTCCTTTTTATGGCTGAGTAGTATTCCTTTGTGTGTGTGTGTGTGTGTGTGTGTGTGTGTGTGTGTGTATCACAGTTTCTTTATCCACTTATTTCTTGATGGGCATTTGGGTTGGTTGAAGGATTCTGCAATTGCAAATTGTGCTGCTGAGTGAGGCCAGCTGTGACCGGAAACTTCTTTCATGCAAAGGTTGTTGATAGTGAAATAAGCGTTTCACAGAAAGGCAAAAGAAAACCAGAGAGTATTACTTCCCATTACTACTGCCTGAGGAAGACTGTAAACCATTTTCAAACCACTTTAGCCATTTCACTAAGACTAATAAACACATGAAAATGCAGAGCTGGAAGTGTTCCTTGTGACCATCAGTACAAATGTCTAACTTTATAGAAAAGGAAACTGAGGCCCAGAAAAATAAACACTTGTTAATAAGCTAAATAAATTTAATAGACCCAATACTAGACTTCTCTTTCTGAGATTCTAGAGCATCCCACTGTCTTCAAGGAGAGAAAAGGATAGTTTTATATTGTGATTCACTTTGTTTCTCATTAAAAAGGTATTTCCTCAAATGTTACAACACAGTGTTCTAATTCGTACAATGAATTACATCAGGATTTTTAAGCTGCTGCCTTTGAACTCTTGGACATCTTTGGACAGTATTTTAAGAGTTACTGAATTACAGTATAAGGGTTATTTATAAAAGCTATTAACTTTCACACTATTTATTTCCCATGATAGCCACTATGGCAGACTATTTCATTGCTGGCTGACAATAAACCATGTCTCCTGGTACTTATGCTCTTATAAGTGACACCAGACATTGTTATTGAGCTTGACCATATGACTTCCATGGCCAATGGTATAGTAGCAAGCATGACGTAAGCCGAGCATTAATAATCACTTGCACATTGGGGTATGTTCTCTTGGAATTCTCTTAGAGGCCACCCATGCTTTAAGAAAGTTCAGGCCAGACCTCCCTATTGGAAAGGAAGAGGCCACGTGGCATAGCACTGAAACACCAGACAGATGATTGACTCCAGTTCTGCAATCCTCCACCTGAACCCTGTTTAAATACCTGGTGCACAATATTGTAGGAAATAATGACTGTTATAGTTTTAAATTACTAAACTCTGAAGTGATTTGTTACATAGAAATAAATATATACCTAATCAAAAACTGGGTAGAGGTATTAATTAGAGGAGATATCTAAAGCATGAGGGGTGGGGGTGGGTAAGAGGGCATCAAGTATATGCCAGAAGACTAATGGTAGCCACAGCTTAGCAACTTCTAAAGATCTTAGACCTATATCACCCGGGAACTAAGAATATAGGAAAAGGCACAAGATTATTAAGGAGAATGGAGAAAACTGAAATTGTTACAGCCTGAAAACCCCATGCCTTTTAAATGATTTTCATATTAAATATGATAAAGATTAAATATAATGAAATTGTCCAATAATCTTAAAATGTAATACTTTACTATCCCCCATTGTATGAATAAGAAAACAGAGACCTAGAGGGATTAAGCAATTTGCTTCAAGTTTCTCAGGTGTTAAGGGGAAGTGGTTCCAAGACAACAGTTGATTGTATAAAGCCCAGGGAAGTTTCTTACCATCTCCTGAATAGATGAGTGAATCACATCCTCTAAATTTGTATATCTCTTAGAAAATGGCATTTTACTTCTGTGAAAGCATCAATATATCATCTGAAAGCAATAGTGCGACTCAGGGAACAGATTAATTCTGGTGATGATGTTATATTATTTTCATATTGGAACATTAGTAAGCATCAAACTTTTTCTGTTTTAACAATGTTAAAGGGTTTTTACTTCTATGTTTTATCTTATTTTAATTTGTAGCTTCATTCTCTTCACTCATGTTCTAATTCTGCTGATTTGAAAACTAATGAGAAAAATGAAGGATACAAAAATTCTTTCAGTCACGAATAATATTTTTTATTATATGACAGAAAAAAAAATCTATGGAGGCCAGGTGCAGTGCCTCACGCCTGTACCCCCACCAATTTGGGAAGTTGAGGCAGATGGATCTCTGAAGCCAAAGAGTTCAAGACCAGCCTGGGCAACATGACAAAATCCCATCTCTACAAAAAATTAGCCAGGCCTGGTGGTGGTCCTAGCTACTCAGGAGGCTGAGGCAGAAGGACCAATTGAGCCCAGGAAGCAGAGGTAGCAGTGAGCCAAGATTGCACCATTGCACTCCAACCTGGGAGGCAGAAAGAGACCCTGTCTCAAAAAAAGGAAGAAAGAAAGAAATAAAGAAAAGAGAGAAAAAATAGGGAAAAAGAGAGAGAGAGAAAGAGAAAGAAAGAAGAAAAGAAAAAGAAGGAAAAGAAAGGAAGGAAAGAAGAAAGAAAAAAAGAAAAAGAAAAAAGTAAAGAAAGAAAAGAAAAAAGGAAAGGAAAGGAAAGGAAGGAAGGAAGAAAGAAAGGAAGAAAGAAAAGAAAGAGAAGGAGGGAGGGAGGGAAAACAAAGGAAAGGAAGGAAGGAAAGAAGAAAGAAAAGAAAAAACTAAAGAAAGAAAATAGGAAAAAAAAGAAAAAGAAGGAAGGAAAGAAAGAGAAAAGAGAAAAGGAAGGAAAGGAAGGAAAGAAAGGAAAGCAAGAAAAGCAAGGAAAGGAAGGAAAGGAAGGAAAGAGAGGAAAGAAAGAAAAAGGGAGGGAGGAAAGGAAGAAAAGAAGAACGAATGAAAAACAAATAAAATACAATGAATTCAAAGCTCATGTTGCATTTATTGCTTTTTTGTTTCTAGGTAAGCATGGTAAAAATCCCACACATAATGAAAATTCAGGAGCACAATATCACAATGACCAAGGGAAACAAACTTACAGTTTTCTTTTGCATAGACTGTAAGTATTTGAAGCTCTCAAAGTTATTATTTCATCTTTCAGTTAAACACACACACACATGTGAATACACACATGTGTTTACAATCGGTTGTAAATATCAAAAGAAACATGAACTAGGCTATGAGTTATTAGAGACAAAACTGAATGCCTCTTACAAACTTTTAAACTACACTGTTATCTTCACCCAAATTATTTATATTTAAGGAGCAATAGTAACATATGAGTAAGTAATCAACGTAAAATAAACAAGAGAAAAATATTTGTAAAAACACTAATAATATATACTTCCACTTCTAAATTTGATGGGTAACTGGTATTGAACATATTCCCCCACCATAAATAACTGTAAAGCTGGGCAAAGTATATGTAATAACTTGCTTCAGAGGTTGTACAACAGACAATACTGAACTGAGAGCTTCGAGAGACACTTAAGCTCCATGATTGCTTTGGCTTTCTTCCTAGAGACAATTTTTGGAGGTGGTAGTAGTGGGGAGTTGCAAAGAAGAGTATGGCAGTCTCACTGAATTGAGGAGACAGAAAGTGGGGTTCGAGGGTAGTGAAACAGTTGGAATGATTGGGATGATTGCGGGAAAGAAGCGAGTTGTGCCGTGCAAGACTTCCATAAATCTTCACAGACAGTCTGCTTGAATATTTAGCCAAATATTAAGCTTCACTTCTGCAGGACAAGACTCCCAATGGCCAATGAAAAAATAAATACTGGAGGAAGAATCTGAATAACTACAAGAGCATGAATACAAAGGACTAAGGGAGACCTTGCTGAATACTCAGGGCATAGGGAGAGATCTTATAAAAACCGTATGTTTTGTGTAAATCTAATATAGTGCCAAATTAATGGCTGTTTTAGATCCTCCTTACAGAAACTTTAAACAGCTCTTAAAAGAAACAAATTATATGCAAGCAAATTAACCGCTCACAGAAACAATGCCCCCCGAAATCATTAATAAAACAAAATAACAAAATCTAGACATTCAAATACTTATGATTCATAATGTCCAGTATATAATAAAATTATTAGAATTGCAAAGCTGAAAAATAATCCTTTAACCAGGAGATAACTTCATAAATAGAAGTAGACCTAGAAATCACAGATGTGATGAAATCTACTGTTAGCCCCTGCTTTGAGTTCTTTATTTTAGTTATTTTATATTTTTTCATTCTTATGTAAAATGTTAGTTCTAATATTTTCATTACAATCTGGACATATTTTTAAATCTTTGAGTCCTGGTATGCCTTCTGCAAAAAAACTAATGATATTTAGCATTTATAAGGATTATACAGCATATAAAATGCTCAGATTAGTATTTTATACATAAGAAACTATTTTTTGGAGAGCTAGAAACATGCTTGTTAATGAGTTTAACTTTATAATGTTTATGAAATTACAAGTATTTTTATAAACATACTTTATGTTTGTTATCATATTTTATCTTCAGAACAATCTGAGAAGACAGGTACATTATCATCCTCATCTTAGATATGAAAAAAAAAAATTAAGTGCAGGGAGGATAAGTAACTTGTCCATGGTCCTACAGTAGCTAAGTTACAGAGGCAGGGATCAAACTGCAGCAGTAAGTCTCTAGATCCTGAGCTTCCATGATTTGCTATTTTTAAGGAATAAAGTATAGTAATAAAAATTGTGTTTTGAATTTCTGGTTGAGAGGATTTCCACATATGATAGATTTTATTGAATTAGACACTAGGTTTCTCTTCAGGGTTCTTCTAATGCTTGTTAATATCTCTTTTTTAAAAGGATAAAGACAGACTTCAGCTTAAGACTACTTTATTCAGAACTTAAATAAGCTGACTAATGCTCATAATAATGAGATTTTGGATTATATGTGCATGTTTTCAAAATGGCTCAAGAGAAATTTAGATTAGACTTTGTCAAATACTTCTTGACAGCAATGGTTCTTAACTACATAAAATGTGGTCAAATCAGCAGAATTTCCAAAACTAAAAAAATAATAAAACAGACAAAAATATGCTGGCTATAATTTACTAGCATAACTTCCCAGTGGGATTTAGGTCATAAACATAATTTCTAAATGAAAATTCACTATCCGAAATTGTTGAAAGCAGAAGAAAGATAACTAGGTGATATAGAGTAAGTACAAATTAAAAAGAGCAGATATTTTTAAGTCACACTCCCTGCCCCCAAAATCAACTGTCTTATTATTTAGAAATTAATATATAGTAAAAGTATAAGGTGTACATATTGCTACCAAATTTAGAGCTCAAAATTCATATGAGTGATTGTGTAGCTGAGGTGAGATGGGAAAATTATAATGCAAAATTGAGAGATATTTCACTAGGAGAAAAGCAAAGACACAGGCATATATTTGCTAAGCAGAAACAGAAACAAAAGTATTTGTGTTGATACAAATAGAAATATGTGTGTATATGTACACAAGCACACATATGCAAATATGTGTTCATGTACACTTTTCGTCTGGCCTACTTGATTACAACTGTTTTACTTATAACCTAAAGAACCACTGATCAGGCCCAGAAAAATTGTCTTTCTATATGTAGTAGTATAGTAAAGGTCTTGACATAATCTATTCTCCCAGATTATGTAAGAAAACCTTTAGTTTCATATCAGATAGAAAGATTATTAAGAGGCCAAATGTGAGTCTTTAGTATTTAATTTTGAAAGACCATATATCAATGCAAGTAGTTCATGAGATGCTCTTTGATGTTTTCTCATCACCAAATTATTATGTTATTTCATATCTATAAAACACACAGAGAATTAAGGGTAAGGGCCTGAACAGACAAATGTTTAGTGTTTTCACAAAGCTTTGTAGCCTCTGTGGGATTACTGAAAATAAAACTTGACTTTATTCCTATCCATGGAGGTGTGACTGGCACTAGCCTAGCCCTCCAAAAATAAGAAAAATATATAAAGTGACTGTTTAAAATTGGACAAAAGGGACAAAAGATTAAATTCCCCATTTAAAAGATAAGAGCCTGCCAAATGAATTAAAAAATGTATTAAGCACCTATATGCTTCCTATAGACTAAAAATGAAGGGACAGAAAAAGTATTCCATGCAAAGGGAAACCAAAAGCAAACACGAGTAGCTATATCTATGTCAGATAAAACTGACTTTAAGCCAAAAACTGCAAAAAGAGACAAAGAAGGTTATTACATAAAGTAATTAATTCAGCAAGATATTAACAATTTTAAATATATATGCATCCCACAGCAGAGCACCGAGATACATAAAACAAATATGATTAGATCTAAAGGGAAAGATAGGCTTCAATACAGTCATAGCTAGGACTTCAACATCTTACTCTCAGCATTGGACAGATCATCTATACAGAAAATCAATAAAGAAACATAGAATTTATACTGCACTTGACACCAAATGGACCTAACAAATATTTACAGAATGTTTCATCCAACACCTGCAGAATACACATTGTTTTCATCAGCATACAAAATATACTCCACGGCAAACCATATGTTAGATCACAAAACAAGTTTCAACAAGTATAATAAAACTGAAATTGTATCTTTTTTTCTGACCACAATGGAACAAAACCGGAAATCAACAAGAGAAACATTTGAAACTATACAAATTAAATGTCAATTAAATGACATGCTCCTGAATAATCAATGGATCAAGGAAGAAATCAAGAAAAAAAATTAAAAAATTTCCTGAAACAAATAAAAACCAAAACATCTGTACCAAAACCTATGGGATACAGCAAAAGCAAAATTAAGAGGAGAATTTATAGCAATAAATGCCTACATCAAAAAGCAGAAAGATTTCTAATAACCTAACAATGCATCTCAAAGAACTAGAAAAGCAAAAACAACAAACCAAACCCCAAATTAGTAGAAAGAAAGAAATAATAAAGAATAGAGAAGAACTAAATGAAATTGAGACTAAATGAACAATACAAAACATCAAGAAAAGGAAATATTGGATTCTTGAAAAGATAAACAAAATTGAAAAACCATTAGCTAGACAAACTAAGAAAAAAGAGAAAATACTCAAATCACAAATGAAAAAGGAAACATTACCAATGACACCACAGAAATATGAAGAATCATTAGAGACTATTATGAACAACTGCACATCAATAAATTGGAAAACATGGAGAAAATGAATAAATTCCCAGGCATGTACACCTATCAAGATTGAACCAAGAAGAAATAGAAAAGCTGAGCAGACCAATTCCAAGTTACAAGATTAAATCAGTGATAAAAAGTATCTCATCAAATAAAATCCCAGGACTTGGTGGAATCACTGCCGAATTCTATCAAACATATAAAGAAAAATTAATATTAATTCTTAAACTCTTCAAAAACTGAAGAGGAGGGAATTCCCTCACACTCATTTTTAGGGCCAACATTCTCTGATACCTAAACTAGACAATTACACAACAAAAAAAGAAGCTATAGGCCAATATCTCTGATGAACACAGATGCAAAAATCCTCAACAAAATACTAACAAACTGAATACAACAGCACATTAAAAAGATTTTTTACCATGATCAAGTGGGATTTATCCAGGAGATCTGAAGGGTAAAAATAATATGATCATCTCAATAGATGAAGGAAATGTATTTAATAAAATGCAACATTATTTCATAATAAAAATTATCAATAAATGAGGTATAGAAGGAATGTACTTTAACACAATAAAGGCCATATATGATACATATGCATCATACATCACACAACAACAAACATCAAACATCTTTCCTCTAATAACTAGAACAAGACATGTATGCCCACTTTCACTACTATTACTCAACATAGTACTTGAAGTTCTAGTCAAAACAATGATGCAAAACAATGAAATATAGGGAATCTAAATTGGAAAAGAGAAAGTCAAAGTGTCCTTGTTTGCAGACAACATAATTATATATATAAGAAAACCCTAAAAACTCCACCAAAAAACCTTAGAACTAATAACCAAATTCAGTAAAGTTGCTGGATGCAAAATCAACACACAAAATTTAGTAGCATTTCTATACACCAACAGCTAACTAGCAGGAAAAATATCAAGAAAACAATTTCAATTACAATAGCTGCAAAATAAAAATACATAGAAATAAAATTTAACCACAGAGTTGAAACATTTCTACAAAGAATATTATAAAACACTAATGGAAGAAATTAAAAAGGACACAAAACAGTGGAAACACATCCCATGTTAATGAATTGGAAAAATAAATATTGTGAAAAATGACCATATTTCCAAAGGTAATCTACAGATTTAATGCAATCTCTATCAAAATACCAATGACATTTTTTACAGAAATAGAAAAACATACTAAAATTAATATGGAACCACAAAAGACCCCAAATAGCCAAAGCAATCCTGAGAAAACAACAACAACAACAACAACAACAACAAAGCTGGAGGCATCATACGACCTGACTACAAAATATACTATAATGCTACATAACCAAAACAGCATGGTACTGACATAAAAACAGACACATAGACCAACAGAATAGAGTAAAGAACCCAGAAATAATTCCACATGTTTACAGCCAACTGATTTTCAACAAAGCCTCCAAGAACATTAACTAAATGAGACTGGAAAGTCCAGTCTCTTCAATAAATGATGCTGAGAAAACTGGATATCCACATGCAGAACAATGAAACTTGATGCTAATTTCTCTCCGTATATAAATATCAACTCAAAATAGATAAAACTTTAATGTTAGACCCAAGTCTATGAAACTACTAGAAAAAAATTAAAATGCTTCAGGACATTAGTCTGGAACAAGGACTTCCTGGAAATGACCTTAAAAGCAGAGGCAACGAAAGCAAAAATAGACAAATGGGATTATATCAAACTAAAAACTTCTGTAAAGCAAAGGAAACAACAGAGGGAAGAGGCAACCTGTATAGTAAGAAAAATACTTAGAAACTCTTCATTTGAAATTAATAACCAGAATATACAACGAACTCAAAACAACTCAATATCAAAATAAAACCCAAATAATTCAATTTTATAATGGGACAATGAACTGAATACACATTTTTCAAAAGAAGACATACAAATGGTCAATAGGTATGTGAATAAAAATGCTCAGCATCACTAATCATCAGGAATGCAAATCAAAACTACAATGAGGTATCATCTCATGCTAGTTAGAATGGCTAACAAAAAGACAAAAAATAACAAATACTGTTGAGAATGGAAAGGGGAATTCTTGAAGACTGTTGGTGGAAATGTACATTAGCGCAGCTATTATGGAAAACAGTACGAAAGTTCCTTTAAAAAAAAAACTAAAAATTTAACTACTATATGATCCAGCAATCCCAATACTGGGAATAAATCCAAAACAAAGAAAATCAATATGTCAAAGAAATATCTGCACTTCTATGTTTATTGAAGCACTATTCACAATAGTTAAGATGTGGAATCAGCCTAAGTATACATCAACAGATGAATAAAGAAAAGGTGACATATATTAACAATAGAATACAATTTAGTGATTAAAAAAAAACTTGTCATTCTCAGCAACATGGATGAGCTTGGAGAACACTATGTTAAGTGAAATAAACCAGGCATTGAAACATAAATACTATATGTTCTCACTTATTTGTGAAAGTTAAAATAGTTGATCTCACAGAAGTAGGGGCTAAAACAGTTATTAGTAGATGCTGGGAAGGGTAGGGGTTTGGGTTATAAGACTTACGAGATTCCTAAGCAAAGCAGTGGCTATAGAGGGAAAGAGAGAAAAGAGAAGGAGCAGTGGCTATAGAGGGAAAGAGAGAAAAGAGAAGGAGCAGTGGCTATAGAGGGAAAGAGAGAAAAGAGAAGGAGAAAGAGAGAAGAGAGAGTGAGAATACACAATGACAAAAATGAAAAACTGAGAATTTGAGCAGTTTAAAGTTGCAGACCAGTCATAACATAGAATAAATTGTTAGGTTTTTCAATTAAAAAAATACAATTTAGGATAAATTATAGGTAAGAAGGGAGAAAGTTGTACATGAAATTCCCTGAGCAGTTATGAAGCACAGATATTTGACAAGGGAGAATTGCACTTTCAGAATATGACACTACGATTCTAAGAAAATTCTTAGAAAATCTCACATTGGCTGTCATCCCAATATATACAGAATTTTTGAGTTTTATATCAATTCCACAGATATTTATGGTGTGTCTACTAAATAAAAGCAGAAAATTGTGCTGAGTGAAATATCAGGTTTATACCTAGGAAGCTTACACATTAGCAAAATAAATGAGATATTCCCAGATAGCTATCCTTTAATTCAATATGTGAAAAGTGACAAACGAATTAAGTGCCAGAGGGAAGATAGATTCCTTTTAATTCAGTATGACTTAAGTTTAACTTTTTTAAAAAGGTATCGACTAAACTACAAAAGATTCCACAGTACCACAGGCTGCAGTCTCAAAGATTGTTATAAGAATCTCGTATCTACCACAGTTCTACCTTCCTCTTTTTAGGCTTCCCTTGTGGATAGAATGTTCACTTGTGATAGCTCCCAGCTTATGTCTTCTTTGATTAAATTCCAAAAGAAAACAAAACAAAAATCTCTTCCCCAAAAGTTCTAACTAGCATTCTGGACCTGATTCTTATTTGTCTCAGCTAAGTTATATGTTTATCTGTGAAGCAATCATTACGGCTGGATGAAGGGCTGGGGAGCGTGGAGTGTGTAGACTGGCTTAAGTATATGTCATCTGTATGTGAGCTGAAGACAGTGGAGGAATGGTTTCAAAGGAATATCAAGTTACTGTTATGAGAAGAAGGGAAAATAAATGCTAAACAGGGAGACAGAATGTATATATAGAATGTATTTGCAACCAATCACAAAAAAGCCAATTAATAGTGGCTTATGCCATAAAGTATTTATTATTTTCTTAAGAAGTCCAGAACTAAGCATTTCCAAGTGTTAAGCTTTTAGCATTTTTCTACTCAACCACCCTCAGTATGTTGACATTTTTCCTATGGCTTCATATTCTCATACATCCACACAATAAATTCCTCCTCATGCAGCTTTCTCAGTGAGAAAAATGTATTCCAAAAGTACTCAGCACAAATTTGACTACATCTCTATGGCCAAAACTAGGTCATATGTCACAAGAGAGACTAGGTTGCCATTGTCACAGGAGACCAATCATGATTTAAGACTCTGCATTGGGCGTTTTGCAGTTCTAACTCAATTGTGGTATTAGCAAAGAAAAAGAGGTAACGGCTACCAGATAGACAGCCAATAAAATCTGCCAGATGTTCAGAAAGGCAAAATTAACCTGGAAGTGGTGTGCGGAATGGATGAAGGGGATAAGTTATAAGGGGCAGTGCTGGAGAACATACGGAGGAAGGGCATCAACCAGAGCATTGATGGTGAGAAACTCTCTAATATTTGTGTAAATGTAAACTTGGAGGACATAAACCACCATTCAATGTGAAGTTATTTTTAAACATTAGAAAGAAATGGAGATCCTACTTGGCTTTCACTATGCACCACCAGATTGTTTAATTGCTTTAATTTGCTCATATCCACATGAGATTACTTAAAATTGTCTAATGTGCCTCTCATTTAATTTCTATTGAATACTTTTAAACCTCCTTCTTATACTCCTAACAAACCCCTTTGGCTTCTCTCTCTGGCAAAGGCAGTGTGCAAAAGCAGTTTTAATGCCATCTTTTACATATTAAAATTTTTTCACTTCCACCAACTTAATTCAACGTTCAGCATTTGGCCTTTTGTTCTTTAGTTATTTTTTTCTGCTTGAGTTTTCAATTCTTCCTTAAAAAGAAATTAATACCAATTGAGCAATATGACAATTAAAAGCAGAAAATGACTAACAAAGGCAAAAACACTGTCATAAACAATATTACTACTTAGGGGTGTTTTTATTTTCTAAGAATAGGAAAATAAGCTCTGAAAAATTTTAGAATATTAATTTAAATTTGAATTATCTCACAAAGATTGACTAACAAAATATAATCATTTCTTTTACTATATGATTTTATATATAATCAAGATATATTTATATGACTTTAATATATTTATTTAATGTTTTCTTTCTAGGAATTAAAATAATACTATGTCCCAAGTTTCTGCATTGGTAAATTTTTCTGCCAAAAAATTCAAAAAGAAAATGTAGAGTAAGATGTGCTTTAATGAGCCACGTCTAGCTATATGTTAGGTTGAAATATTTGTCTTTTTTAAAGCAGTATGAATGCACAATAGAGGGTTTTATACATTGTTATCAACAAATTGAGAAACCAAAGCTTTAATCGAGTTAGCGTTTCCCAACTCCAGTAAAAAATATACAAACATGTACATAATATACAAATTAAAACTGTTTGAGGCACAAAGTAATAACCTATTACTAAATACAGAGCACAGAGGTTAAATATCAAACATTTACTGAAGGTTAAAGAGACATCTTTTGTCTATTTTTTCCTAGGTTGACAAAATACTCAATCTGCTAGCTCATATTATGAAAACAGCCAAACGAAAATTCATCAGAAAAACTGAATACTTACCAAGCCAAACTAATTATGTACACAAATATATTGATTCTTCTGGCGTACTGTATCTAAGCAACTAAGCATTACTGAAGTTGTTTATGTTGTGCATCTTCAAACAAAGTTACTTACTGGCCTAACTCATTTCCCATCAGAATTCACAAACCATTTCTTTGCACCAACTACAAAGTAAGGTAGAAGCACAATTAAAGCCATCAGCCATGTAATCTTCCAAGATCACAGGAAAAGATAAAGAACTCTTACTACTGGACTTAAATGTCAAAAGACAAATCCTCTTGTCTTTACTACAAGAAATAAAAGAACAAAAAAAGTGCATTGTATTAACATATAACACTGTTTTTCTTAGTTTAAAATAATCAAATTCTATTTTGTAAAAGTAAATACAATAAAAAATAAATAGAAGGGCAAGCTTAATCAAACCAACATACTGTTGGCAAAAAGTTACTTACTATTGGTGTCTTAGACACAGTTCATTAGTTAAAAATCTGGGAGGCAGGGGTGGGTAGGTTGGTTTTTTTCTGTACCCGTTTTGTTTATCATAAAGTGACTTGTACCCTGATGGCTGGTTTCACTTTCCCTCTCTACAAGTCATGCCTATACTCAAGAAAAGAAGTGTCAATCTCAAATTTACAGTCAAAATACTGAAGCGAGGAATATAAAATATGTCAAATTACTTCAAAATGACTCAGGCTTAGCACAGAAAATGCACAAAGGAGCATACGTCTATTCACATTGTTTACTCATTCAATAGCTATTTATAGTGCAACATATAAAATCCTAGAAGCTTAGGGAACTATATTAATGATTAGCCCTGATAACTGTTCTCAAGGAATTTATAATCTTATCCTCAGTTATATACAGGTCCCTTTCACGAGTTTTCAAGTTTTGCACAATTTGAAGTCCTTGAAGCACTATCTGAGAAACTTCATTATAATAAAACAGAAGTTTTCTGGCTATAAAAATAACATTTTAAAAAAATTATCTGCGTCCCGATGAGAGACAAAGGAATCAGTTATTTTTTCCTTTTATAGTTCCCTAAATCCCCTGGAATCATACTCTCAGCTCCCATTGTATTTTTGTGATAGTTCTTTTTAAACATCTACCTCAACTCCTCTACTCCAGATTCACTTCTTTAATGCTGTCTGAATGGCTCAAGATTAATTTTCTATACTTTCTCTTTGAACAAATTCTTAGAAATCAAAATGTCAATGATCCTGAACAAAATTACTCTCCAAACACTGGCTTGTGCCAGGAATCATGACAATTGCTTTCTAGAAACTTAGTTTCTGTTACTTTCAAAATAGTCTGATATTTATGGGAGGACCTGCAGGTCTCAGTTTAAAAGAAGTTAACATATTAGTTTGAATGAGAAATTGGGAGACCTCAGATATATGAATAACAGATGAGAGATACTTTTCACATAGTAATAAACATTTCACTAAAGTGATAATCACAGAAAATAAGCAATCACAAAGTTCTTAGAGAAACAGAGAGGTTTCACTGTTAAATTTTTTTAATTGTTAAGATTTATTTTGAGTTGGTTTTGGGATCATTTAAAATCATAAAATATGCAAGTCCTATGCTAGTCCAGCTGCTTAATTTCCTAGGATTATTTATGACTCACTTTTGTTCAATAAGTAAAATTACCGTCCCTGCTAAATTTGAGTTACCAGACACTTCCAAAATATTTCTGAAATCAACAACTGTTTTCTAATTTGCTACTTGGCCTATCTTCAAAAATGTATTTAACACTTGTAGTAATGTCTCAGAGATTTGATCAAAGGTGTTTTAGTTATTTGTCTTCCCACTATAGCCGTGACTGATTTAGAGCAGACAGCACTTCTGCAAATAAACTTCACAAGTGTCTAAATCATATCCTTATACACAGAAGTGCCTGAACCCAAGGGACATCAAATGGTTAAACACCAAAGCCCTCAGCAGCTGCAGCCAACAGGTGATATATGATATGGTAGAAGAAATAACCTTAGAGACACTTCTTTGATTAAAGGGCTGAGAGATATTGAAGTGGTTATCTTTCTGCCAAAAGCCAAAGTGGTCTAATACTGGTGGTCAAACTTAGATGATCATCAGAATCACCTGGGCAGCATTTTAAATACAGAGATTCTTGGGCTCCCTGCCCAGTAATTTGGTTCAAAGCCTTAGGACCAGAAATCTGTATTTTTTATGAAGTGTCCCAGTTAGGGAAGTTTCTCCAATTCCCTACTGAGGCAGGATTAGAATAGATGATAGAACCATATAATTGTATAATGTATATTTACTTTCATATATTACTGTTTAATGATCCTGAATATAGTTTATGTGTCTACAAGTAACTTTTTAACTAACCCTTTTGCTTATATTTATAATATCCATCTAAGGAAACAATTCAGCTATTCTTATACAGATATATGTGAACTCAGAGGACTCAACCAATCAATATTTTGTCTGGCCCAAGAGTTAGTGGATCATGCAATCAGTAGCCCTTCCAGAAGAGGGTGGAAACAAGGCCTATTTGTATTTTTATATTTTTATTTAAAATGTGATGAAACAAGAATCTAAGTTGTGACAATATTGAAACCACTGATCTAAACCATTTGTCTTTGCCTCTACCCCTCACCACTCCTTCGGAAAAAAGGAACTGCATTCCCAGGCAACTCAAAAAATCTATTTTGCAGTGAGAAAAGAGCCAGCACTTCCTTACCTTCCAAAATCATATGGATAAGTGCCACAGAATCTAGGAACATGAAGAGCCAAAGTTATATACATGTGGGAGGCAAGACTGCTGATCTTAGAGGCTGTGTAGAGTGGCAGTCAAAAGCCCATGCTCTGGAGCCTAAGAATGCAGGTTCAGTTCTGGCAGTGCCACATATTAACTTGTGACTTTGGGCTATTTATTTAATCTCTCTTTGCTTCAGTTTCCTCATCTGGAAGATGTGGGTTAATTTTATTACATACTTCATTAGGTTATTGTGAGTATTTAGTGATGTCTACCTTAGCACTCAAAGAATATGCTAGAAATGTGTACTCCCAGACCCTGCCCCAGGATGTGAATTTTTAACAAAATTTTCACGACTTGTATGTATGTGACAATTTGAGAAGCAGTAATTTAAGACATGTGAAGGGTGCAGACTGGTCAATACTTTATACATTTGTTGCTATTACTTAGTTTAAACCTAAACATCAAACAATCACAAAGTCTAAAAGCTCTGCAAATAGATATGTAGATGACAGAAGCAGTGTCTAGCTGAATCTGTAGGAAACAAATGAGATGAGTTGGAGACCAGCTTAAACCAAAAAAGGATATGTTTGAATTATACAAAAAACTAGGACCTGAAGAAGAAAATGTGAGAAGAACCACCACAGGAATGTGTCTGGCAAGTTTATGTTCAGTTGTCTTTCTGGTGAGAGAGATAGAAAGCCAGTAAATAGGCCGGGCACAGCGGCTCCCGCCTGTAATCCCAGCACTTTGGGAGGCTGAGGCGGGTGGATCACCTGAGGTCAAGAGTTCGAGACCAACCTGGCCAACATGGAGACACCCCGTCTCTACTAAAAATACAAAAATTAGCTGCATGTGGTGGCGGGCGCCTATAATCCCAGCTCCTCGGGAGGCTGAGGTAGGAGAATCACTTGAACCCGGGAGGCGGAGGTTGTGATGAGCCGAGATCACGCCACTGCACTCCACCCTGTGCGTTGGGCACGAGACTCCATCTCAAAAAAAAAAAAAAAGAAAAGAAAGAAAAGTCAATAAATAATGACACTCTATATATTATGAATTTTCAAAATTTCATGTTTCCTGATTCCTCAACATCCCCACAAACAGGGATTGAGCACCCCACCCAGGCGACCTAGTGTATCAGCGCGATAAGGCTGGTCTCTGTTGCAAGTTCCCTTTTTGCCTTCCCCTGACTACGGCCCTAGTGGCAACCAAATGCACCACTGAAATCCCCTCATATATTCTGCTTGTGTAGTCTACCCTGATGCCCAACACAGGCACTTCCACATAGGTCCTCGCTGTTTTTCTCAGCTCCCCACCTGCTTGGGTTGGCATGCTCCCCTGGTGGCCCTACCTCTGTAGGAGCTCTGAGGATAATAAATCCTTTGATTTCATATGCCCTCCAAGTGTAATTTCCACAGCCAGAATGGAGTAATCCTTAAAGATCCCACAAGGGAGACTTACTCTCCCATTTATAACTCACTGTGGTAAAGATTTAATAACGAATGCACACAAAACAGAGGTAAGGCAGGAGATGAGTGGTGAACTCTGCTAAAGTCAGAAAATACTTCTCCAAAGAGTTCACATCTGACGTGGGTACTGAAAAAGCCAGGAGGCAAGACAGAAAGCATTCTAAACTTCAAGAATCATGGGTGCAAAGGTGTGAAGCCTTGGGGGAAGTACAAGTAATTCATGATCACTGAATTTCACAGGTCCCTGCACTGTGTGTATAGAGGACTGTGGTGCTCTGTCTGTAGAAGACAAAACCAGAAGAGACTGTGAAAATGCTGCTAGTCTCTGGGTCCATCTCTCTGAGACCTAGATTTTGTTGTTTGGGGTGAGCCCAAGTATCTGCATTTATCTAGCCCTCCACAACTCTGATATATGTGACAAGACATGATACTGGTGGGTGACTGAATTATGGAATGTATTATATTCCTTTCTGCAAATCATGAATTGTGTCCTGGAGTGAATGAGCTGATGCTCAGGAGTTTTAACTAGTGGAGGGAAGTAATCAACACTGTAGTTTAAGAAGTTAACTCTGGACAAAATGGGGTGAATGAATATTATGAATTTAATTATTAAGGGACTTTGTCCCTCAGTGTCCTCATCTCTGGAAAGGGACAGATAATGAGACAGTTGTAAGGACCGTAAAGCACTTAGAACATTGCTTAACATGTAGTCTGCATGTAATAACAACGAACATTTATCATCATCACCATTATTGTTATTTTGCTACATCAGACTTCACATAGCAGGGCTCCAGAAATAATTGATCCCGAGAACCTATTTCAGGAGGTGTAAGAACAGGTATATTTTAAAGTGTGTTAATAATCTGTACCTCATGCCCACTCAAAATATCTCAGTACCTTTTAAGAAAGTAGAAATATTTACTTGTACAGGTCTTCCTTTGCACTGTGAGACATATAATGGTATAATCATTTAATAATGTGCCATCTAATAAGAAAGATAAATGTTTGGCTACTTTAAAGCAGCAATACTTGAAAAATCTCTTGGGGGCAGACATATCCTTACTCAAACCTAAATCATCAAAACTGTGCATAGACTCCTGACTTAGACAAAGAGATAAGCAGAGAAACGTTTGAAAGACTTCAGTAGAATTACCACAGCACACATAATTTAATCCCTCTCCTTTATAAATAATCCAAAAGCAGAATAGGTTAGACAAGCCCTGGCTCATTATAACAACAGATGCGTAATCCAGGAATTCACAATCTGGTGGTAGATTCATTTTTTTTCATCATCCTGTGCTTAACACAATACTGTTGAGACACATTGAGTCTTGATAGGTTTTAAATGCCTCAGTAATGGGCATGCCTATTCTTTAGTTAGCAGCACTATGAATCATCTTGACCATTATTGACTGGCATATTATCAAAAATATATTAAAAGTATTTTCCAGTGATTACATATCTCAAAGTAAGACATTAATAGATTGCTATAGTTTTCTTTTGATATCTCTTCATCTGGATCAAGTACATAACAAGAAATGAACATCTATAACTGTGAAAATATAAACATATAAATTGAAGCTTATCTTTATTGATTTAACTCAAGCCGTTTCAAGGACATAATTCATCTTGGATTTACTACGTATTCTGAAGTTTGAGAAAAAGCTGTGTGCATTTATATCTTGTATAGCTGACATTCCAGTAACTAGAAACGTAGAGAATATAAAACAATGTTTTGTGGCTACCTACTCTGGTTGAATATTCAATGGTTTTAAAATTTTATTCAATGTAGATAATATACATGGAAGTTTTTCTATATTCCTTTTAAACTATAGAGTTTTAAAACAGTAACGGAATGTATTTAATAGTCATGACCTATTCTGTTCTGCAGTATTCCCATGTTCCCTTCTCTCTCCCTCCATATGGCCTTCCATATGCTGTTACTCTGCTCTCCCCTCTCTTCGCAAAGCAGCCCCACACTATCTTTCAGCCTCAGGTGAACCTTTTCTGACCTCCAGAACTAGGTAAAATCTTCAGTCCTATGCCTTCCTCACATAAAGTGCTTCTCCTTCCTGGCATTTGTCACACTTGTAATTGTACTCTGTGTGTGTGAGAGAGAGAGAGAGAAAGACAGAGACAGAGAGAGAGAAAATGAAAAAGAGAGAGAGAGAGTAAATGAAAAAGAGAGAGAAAGAGGGGGAGGGGAGAGAGAGAGAGTGTCCTCCTGGCTCCATGAAGGTAGAAACTGGAATTATCAGTGCCAGGGTCAGTGATTATGACATATGAGACGCTAAAATACTGTTGAATGAATAATACACTTTTTAAAAATAACAATTCCCAAACCTTTTTGCAGTGAGATACTAAATGGAAAGAAGAGCCCTGAAGTCAAATATCAGGTTAATTGTTTTAACAGCCTTAGCAACTGGAACCCTAACCACTTAAAGCCACTCCATACCACCCGCCTCTTTTCTCTCCTTTCCTATTTACCCTCTTCATCATTTTTATCATAACATTCATGTGAGTATATTCTATGTTTCAGGTCTTAGGCAAATGTTTTAGATTCACTATTTAATCCTGACTACAGCCCTCCAGGTACAGTCCTGTCACAATTTTATTTCATTTTTTTTTTTTTTTTTTGAGATGGAGTCTCTCTTTGTCGCCAGGCTGGAGTGCAATGGCGCTACCAGGTTCAAGCGATTCTCCTGCCTCAGCCTCCCAAGTAGATGGTACTATAGGCGCAAGCCACCATGCCCAACTAATTTTTGTATTTTTAGTAGAGATGGGGTTTCACTATGTTGGCCAGGATGGTCTTGATCTTTTGACTTCGTGGTCTGCCTGCCTCGGCCTCCCAAAATGCTGGGATTACAGGTGTGGGCCACCACGCCTGGCCCCTACCACATTTTACAGGTGAGAAAATTAGACTCCCAGAGGCTAAATAACTTGCCCTATAGGAAGATCTGTTTTTCTTTGAACCTATTGTCTCTTTTTCCAAACCTGCTCTTTCATACTTTGCACTGTAAAGTTAAGCTAGGAGGTTACAAACTATTTTGTTTTTTAGCTTTCTGTAGGTTCTGTCAGAACCAATCCAACAAATTACTTATTATAAACTAAACAATGGAAATAACACACAATCATATGTGTTATGACGGGTGCTATGTGTACTTTCATCAACAACATCATTTTGAAGTCTCAAAACACAGATGCAGACACATCACTCTATGTGCATTGACTTCTCTTGAGAAATGTCTATACAAATGCCCTATTAAATACCTAATTTAAATGTGTTTTTACAGAGAATTCAAATTAACTACACTTATTCAGTATATGATTCAGATTAATTATGCCCAAGCCATTTGGGGCTTTTGATACTGTTTCTATTTCAGGAAGCAGAATTTGGCATCAGTGTAGTCATTTCAAAAATGAGTTCCTAATATAGAAGATAAAAATATTCTGCCATAAATATCTATAGATATAATAAAACTTAACATTCTATAATGTGGATGTTGTATTTAGGCAACTCAAATTTATTTCTCTCAAAATAATAATGTAATACTAAACTGTTTATCATTTAACTGTTTATCATTTAAGACTTTAATGAAGCATTTTTGGAAAGAAGGAATTTAACATTTAGAGACTAACGTTATTGCAAAGGTGCTATAGAGGTAACTTAATCCTATTCCCTTGGTATGTATGTAAAGAATGGTCTCAGAAATTAAATTATTATGTCCTTTGATTAAATATTAAACTAGCTCAGGCTGTATATTTATGACCACACAAGTGATTTAGATGTATAGATATCTTCTCCAATCTACCATATGTTTTGTTTGATACTACAAATTAGATTCTGGTTTACCCCTCCTTGAACAGCAATAATAGTTAATGGGTTCCTTAAATATTTCTGTGTGTATGGAAATAAGCATACACTTTCTCCTGGACACTTAGCTTGCAAAAAGACCAAATCTTTATTTCACACTAGAACTTCCTGCTTGCCTTTGAATTTTTCAAAAGATAACACAACGGAAATTTGTGGGTGATTTCCACAGATAACATCCCATTTTCATTTCATTACTGTGTTGTATGACACATTGCACAAAGGGAGCTAGCTATCATTTCAAACATTTCTTATCTTTGGAAATAGAAGAAGAAATAACTTCATAACTCATAGGGGCATTATTAACATACCTTTTTAGTTTTATATTTTGTAAATTCAGTTTGGCTTTTAATTTGTTTGAAGATCTCAAATGTAGTCACTGTTGATTTCTAAGTATTGATATCTCTGCATCTTGATATTTTACAACTGCACTTTTGACTTCAGCCAGCTTAAAGAAGGGAAATGGCAATTGGCATTTGGTAGTATTCTCTTTCTAAAGTTCTTCAAATGAAGCAGCAGCCAGAAGGATCTTGTCTCTAGAATACTAAACAATAAACTGGCACAGCCAAATCCCTGTTATCACATACATGCATACTTACACACATATCCCACACAATCACACAGTCACACAGGAAGTAGTTGTTAACTTAGTCAAGTTTCTGCAGGTTACAGACTCTTCGTTGTCTTTCAGTAGTCACTAGTCTTGGATAAGAATGATCATATTTTCACTTCCCCCAGTCTGGAAATAATGCAAAAAACCAACATGCGGATAACATTAATGTGCATTATTAAAGTCAAAAAATGTGTTTTTCATCAACAATTAGCATTTTGGCCATGAAACAAATGTTTTGTTCTTTTTGTAGATCACTTTAGTTTCATAATTTGAATCAAATAAATGTTATCAAGTTCACTTCTAAGATGGCCCAGTTTGAATTGTGATACTTGAAATACTTATTTTAGTTGTGCTAAAACGATCTTGTGTTTTAAGTTACTGGAGTTAAATTGTTTCCTTGGACAGAGGCAGAAACACTGTGGGTCCTGCTACTTGACAGAAAATAACATTGTCCATTTGAAGCAGATTTACAGGCTTATTTGAATTGAAACAAACTTTTGACAATCAGTCAAATCAAACACAAGCTTTGTGTAGTTAAAATGTTTGAAAGAGCTCTTCTCTCTCTAGTACTTTACTATTTATTTGTATATGCTGATTTTCATCCTGGGAAAAATCAAAAGCTAAGTATGGCAAGATGGTTTTTCACCATGTCAAGATTCCACTTCACCACTTCCTTTTTTTTTTTTTTTTTTCTTTTGAGACAGAGTATCACTCTGTTGCCCAGGCTGGAGTGCAATGGCGTGATCTCAGCGCACTGCAACCTCTGCCTCCTGGGTTCAAGTGATTCTCCTGCCTTAGCCTCCCGAGTAGCTGGGATTACAGACGTGCATCCCCACGTTCTGCTAATTTTTGTATTTTTAATAGAGATGGGGTTTCACCATGTTGGCCAGGCTGGTCTTAAACTCCTGACCTCAGGTGATCCATCTGCCTCAACCTCTCAAAGTGCTGGGATTACAGGTGTGAGTCACTACCCTCAGCCACCTCCTTCCTTTTTTTGTCTCATATAAGCAGGCTTTTTCAGTGACCTGTAGGTGATGACCTGTAGGTGATGATTCCTCTTATCCCAAAACCAGACAGAGTATTCAAAGACAACAGAAAAATAAAAAATGTTTTCATGCAATTGACTGTAGATGCAGTTTAAGTTATTTACCAAATAAGTGATAGACACAGTAGATTCTAAAATATTTTTGTATTTCTCTTTGATATATATATATACAATTACTGTTGATAAACTCACCCTTCCCTTCTATATTGGTCCCACCGAATTTCACTACTACAATTAGAACTTCAATGTATTCTGAAGGTTTAATCATTGTTGCTTTAGTTATGAACCTTTTTAGAAAAAGTTAGCTTTGTTGTGAATAGGACCTTCCCAAGCAAGGCCGAAAAAAATGTGAGTTCATTTCTGAATCACATTTTTAGCTTAGTTAAATTTAGTTTGCTTGTATCTCATAGAAGACATCAGAATAAAAATCATATTTTAAACTTATATTTTAAATATAATATTATTTACAATATTCTAATAATCTTTGTAGATTAATAGTTCTAACTCATCTTTCACGTTTTTCTTCATGTCCTTCTATAGGTTATCGAATAAAAAGAAATTATTTAATTCTAATTCTAACGTGGGAAAACTGGGTCCATGGTATTCTTTTCTAAAAAGTGATAGAGAAGGTTACTGTTCTATGTCCCATGGCTGAAGCCCATGCCCAGTACTCCTTGTACCAGTGAGCATGAGGTGGCCATGGGATCTGCTCAGCTTTCTGGGGCCAGGATGGAAGAGCTCTCATTGGTGCCAGGCTCCCTAGTCAGTTATAAACCTGACTTTGGGCCAAATTAGGTTTGCTTCTGAAAAGACAAAGACATGAACCTTTTTATTATACTGGAGGTTGTGCTCCTTCAAGAAATGATTCACTTACCCAAAACAAATATTTTAACATATGTATATCTTATTGTTCCACATCCTTAAAGGGATGTGGGATGAGTACAACACACATAAGGACCTCTGCCCCAAAAACACACATTCATGCATCTACACACACAGAACACATATCACTTTCAGCTTCCAGGAATCAGCCGAGCAGGTAGAGAACGAGGAATAAAGTCCAAACAATTGGGTAATTTTAAGATGCTGGTCTCCTACTTGCAGCTCAGGAGGAGGGCTTCGTGAGCAACAATTCTTCAGACAGTGGTTTGGACTTAGGAGTGATTTTAAGATGCTGGTCTCCTACTTGCAGCTCAGGAGGAGGGCTTCGTGAGTAACAATTCTTCAGACAGTGGTTTGAACCTAGCACTTTTGAGGCTATACTCTCAGCTTGCCTAAGCAATGTTATCTTTTTCAAGAGGCTTTTGTGACACAAGTTTAATTACTTAAGGACAGATACTCTACTTCAGGCCACAGAGGGTGACAATTGCTTTTGCATGTTTTAAATATGCTATCTAAGAAAAATATAGTTCAAAGAAACATTTAAATCATCATTCCCTCTGGATGCATACTTTAAAACAAAATGTAAACATTGGTGGTTGTTGCCTTATCTTAAATTTAAAAAAAAAGAAAAAAACTTCTTAAAGTAATCAATTAGAATCAGTTCCTCCAAACAGAGTTTTCATTTTCACCACCTATTCAAAAGATATTTGGGTTAATTCCAGGAGGCAGCGCTTGCAGTGAGCCAAGATCGTGCCACTGCACTCCAGCCTGGACAACAGAGCAAGACTCCATCTCAAAAAAAAAAAAAAGATATATGGGTTAATTATAGCTGATAATAACTCTCAGACACTAAAATCTCTAGAAAACTAGACACTTCACAAAGGATTTTCTAGTATAATCCAACGACATGCACCCAGAATTGGAAGTCAATGTCGTCCAAAGGTTGCGAACTAAAGAAACAGTGTGAGTACAGAAAACTGTAAAAATATCTTAGTTTACAGGATACAATTGGGACTAAATGCCAGTAGCAAGAACCTTTACAGATACATTTATCTGGGAATTCTAGCTCAGCTCTTGCCACTTATTCACCTTATGGCTTTAGGCAAGTCTTTCTTAATCTCTCTCAGATTCAATTTCCTCAGCTGAAAAGTGATAATAATAAGACCTAACTCACAAAGTTATAATAATTAAAACAAATTACACATTTTAAAAGTTTTTATAAACTGTAAATCCCCATGGAATTGTAAATTGGTTTAAGGAAAAGAGCAATAATTAAATGATCATGAAAGGCCCTATAACTTATCATAAAGAAGCCAGAAATACTTCCATGGAATGCATAAATCCAACCTCTATATCAATATAGCAGAGAATTTCTAGAATATGCTATATCAAAGAGAAAAAATTAATGGTTTATGATGTGGAGATATTTAAGCTCTCTTATAAATAAAAAAATACAATTTCATGTACATAGAATTATGCATTACTCATGGCATTCAAAGTTAAAATAATATTTATAAGAATTCAGCAGAGAAATATGGCTCTTTCTAGATTTATTTCTTGCCTTAAGCCCTCATAACTGCTGACAGTCAAAACACTTATTTGCAAATATAAAGATCTTGCATTCATAGAACTCAGTACATTGTTATTTCTATGTTGAAATAGATATTTGGCCTTCTATAACTTAAATTTTTTAAAAAACCATGTAAACCAGAAGCCAATATACGGTGTGAACAGAAAACAAGTCATTTACCTCATATGTTTCTGGCTTTCTAAAATAAAATAACTGCTAGAAAATGAAAGCAGTATAATATCACTCTTTATTTTAGTCTGGGTTCTCCACAGAAACAGAACCAATATGATATGGATATAGTTTATGGCATAAATATGTATATACACACACACGTGTGTGTGAAGAGAGACAGAAAAAAAAAAGATACAGATTTACTGTAAGTAATTGGCTCACATAATTATGGAAGCCAAGTCCAAGATTTGAAGTTGGCAAGCTGGGGAGCCAAGAGAGCCAATAGTATATTTCCAGTTCTAGTCCAAATGCCCGAAAACTGGGAGAGCTGATGTTTTAAGTTCCTGCCCAACTCTGAGTGAAAAAGCAGGAGAAGATCAGTATTTAAACTTGAAGAATATCTGGCAGAGAGAGAGAATTCTTATTCAGCCCTTTATCCTATTAAGGCCTTCTGGGGATTAGATGAGTCTCACCCACACTGGGGAGGGATCTGTTTTACTTAGTCTACCAATTCAAATGTTAAGTGCATCCAGAAACACCCTGAGAGTCACACTGAGAAACAATGCTTAACCAAACATCTAGGTACTCCATGGTCTACTCAAGTTGACATACAAAATTAACCATCACACTCCTCAACTGAATAGAAATAGTCAACTGAATTTTAATGAATAGCTTTCATTCATCAGAGTTCATATTCCAATATTAAACTTAAAAAATATTTAATATTGAAATATCATCTACTTAGAATAACTTTTTTTTAAGTTACAATGTTTATGTAAGTCTACTTGACTGGTTGAAAAATGTATTGGATTACACTTTTCTGTTTTCTTTGGTAAGCATTATGTGGTCAAAGCTCTGAGAGTTGTATACAGAATGTATTATCAATATCACTACTCAGCTATGTGCAAACATCAGTCTTGCATTATCTCCTGACCTAGACAGCATCTGCTGCAGCCCTTTCACAGTGTACAGCAGATGGTCTTCAAGGGCCCATTTGGCATTTTCTTCTCAACTTCCTAATTGCAGGATTATTCCAGGACAGAGCTGATTCCTTCCCTGTACCTGCAGATGTTCTCTTGGAGTATCACTAAGGCAGGTTCTTCATACAGCATGTTAAATCTGCTAATGCTTGTCCTTTATCTATAATGGCCTATAGGACTTTTGGGAGGCCAAGGCAGGAGGATCAGTTAAGGTTAGGAATTACGGGCAACATAGCAAGACCCCATTCTTTAAGAAAGGATATGAAAATTAGCAAGGCATGGTGGTATACGCCCATGGTCTCAGCTACTCAGGAGGTTATATGGCTAATGTTTGTCCTTCTTTTTGTCTAGTCGATAGTCATGGGACACCAGGATATCCTGCCTTCCCAGCCTTGGCTCCATAGGAAAGCAGTGGAGAGAGGGAAGATGTTGCTATGCCATTCTGCCATTCTTTCTCCAGTGGCACAAGGATGGATCAGAAACTTTGGGCCTCAGAATAACCTATGGTGATATGAGGAAATGAGAATCCAGTATCTGCATCTTATAGAGATCTCCAAACATAAAATGGGAAAGGTGAAAACAACAACAGTCTTTCCACAAGTCCTCTTTTTTTAACCTTTTATCCAAAAAAAAAAAAAAATCCACTATTGCTATTCTCATTTCTCATTTTTATCCCTCTGGATTAAATTACCAACTCATATAGGCCTCCTTTTAACCTTGATAAAATTTGGAGGGTCTGGAACTGTGAATGAGACTTATTTAGATTTTGCCTTCTTTTCATGCATGAGCTGTCTCCATACTATTCTCCATCAAATGAAGACAAGAGGCCAATTCTGTTGATTCTATATACTTATTCACAAAACTAGTGAATAATTGATGATAAGTGGTAATCCATCTATTAGCCTACTAAGGAAAAAGTGAAGTTAAGATAAAAAAGTATCCTGGGAATCTAAGTATTGTGGAAAATCTGCTCTTAATAAAGCATGTTTCCACCATTCCAATATTAATTTTGTTATTGAATAATTCAACTGCTATTCAAATTACCTACTGTAGAGGGCTCACATGGATGCAGTCAGATGGCCTGTATTTGGGCCAGAGCTAGAACACTGATGTTCCACTATAGGCTATCAAAAGATGAAGTGTAAATGGATGGGCAAAAGCTTCAGTGTTAGTGAGTCAGGTCAACCATCAGTACTGATGAGGCTATGGGGAGAGAGACCAAGAGGTAAGGATTAACAGGTCCCAGTCAATTTCCTGCAGGCTGGCCTTCTGCAAAATTCTGTGGAAACCAGTCATTGTTTGAGACAATCAATCCTAGTAAATGCTGAGGTGGCAGCGCAGACCACAAGTTCTTTTGAGCTGTGACCACAAGTCTCAAACCCTATTCCCCTAATTGTACAAGTGGAAAGGCCCCAATCAATAAATGCTGAGGTTGCAAAAAAGAGATGGAGACCAAGCTCTGGCACATCATACTGTTGTTATGACACGAGGCTTGGATGCAAGGTCTTGAATGTGGCTGGAGAAGAGCTGACACTTTTTCAGTTATATTGCTTAAAAACCCCAAGCTCAAAAGGTGGGGATTCTGGTATCAGAATCCGATGGTCAGCCTTGCTCAATCCCTGTCCCAGATTTTCATGAGCAACTGGGTACCTGCAGCCGCAATAAATATTGTTCGAAGAGACATGGTCTTGCCATTTTCATTTTGTGTTCAACAGACATATTTTGTTTATTGTTGATGGAAGTATAAATTAGCAGAAATAAAACAATTTTATGTAAGATTATTTGGCATTGTCTATCAAAGCTGTAATACATGTTTTGACCTAGAATTTCAACTTCCAGACATTTACCTTATAGATATATTTATTTGCAAATATATGCAAATGATGTTGACACAAAGTATTTATAGTAGTACTTTTTTATAGCAACAGACTATAATCTAAATGTTCATCAAAAAGGCACTGGTTAAATATATAATGTTACATCTGTACAACAGAAAGTATGTAAAAAAAATAAGAAAGGTCATTTCATATTGATATTAAATATAATAACATCCCAAGATACATCATTTAGGATGTATATGGTGGGACATAGACCACTTACTTTTATTTTTTTGATGTTTAAATGATATGAATGTAGCAAATATATGGCAACTCATGTGATTAAGAATAAATCTCTAAAACCAAAATACTCATTTTGTAAGTGGCACAAATTAGGCAATAAAAATCAATATCATTTGTGATTCTGGCACTTTTCAAGATGAGGTTAAAGTTGTGCCTTACATTATTCATGTAGGCCTCAATTAACCATATTGTTGAAGTACTCAGTTTATAAAAATGGAAAACAATCCAAGTAAGGTGAATCCATAGACTGATTCACAAATACTTTTCAGATTATATCCCAGTGATATTCACAGTCTGCTTACTCATTAATCTTTTAAAATTTACTTTGTAGTTAAAAAATGGAAACTGATACTGAGAAACGTGACTTTTGTGGCAACATGGCAAAGTAAATAGACTAGAACTCAACAGTCTCATGTTCAAATCACAGCTGTGATTTTTGACCATCATTTGATTCCTTAGTTCCTAATAAGCTTTGAAATGAAAACTTGGCATTATCACTAAAATTTCTTCTAGCTTAAATATTTTATGATTCTATTCTCACATAGTGCAAACTCTACAAGAATTTTTTTACCTCATTAAAGAACAATGATATAAACTTTGGAGTGAAGTAAACAGTCATACAGCAAAGAAGATGATGTAGGCATAATATTGCTGATGAAGGTTTCAACTGGCAATTTGATTATTAAGAGATCTGAGCAGTGGAGAACCCACTATGAAATAAAACCTAGTATTTTCCCAAAACTGATCAGAAGTCCAGAGTGAATATGACAACTTTACAGCCAGACACTAGTGTCTTAAGACATTTTAAAAACAAAGGCAACGCCCATATTCACAGCAGCATTAGTTACAATAGCATAAGGTGAAAGGAACCAAGTGTCTATGGATAGATGAATAAACAAAATGTGTACATACATAGGAGGGAATATTATTCAGCCTTGAAAAGGAAGGCAATTCTGACACATGCTACCACACGGATGAACCTTAAGGATACAATGCTAAGTGTAATAAGAAGCTTCGCAGTGTTCCAACTTACAAGGTAAATATCACTCAGGTAGCTATATGGCTGCCTGAAATCTAATGACATTTGGGAACTCAAATTTTTCTGAAAAACAGAGTGAGATAACATTTGCTTTGGCCTGAGCTTTTAAAGTCCTACTAGTATATTACAACTATATTCTACATAATTTTCAGTAAATATATTTTTTAATACAATGTTGAACAAAAGAGAATACAAGAGAATCTCCTAAACCAAACAATAACAACAAAACTAACAAAAACCCACAAAGGAAAAGTGGACTCAAACTTGAATGATAAGCAAATAAGTGGTCTTGGAGGCAAATGCCAATATCAGGTAATAGGAACTGAAACTCCTGGGGTCTCTATAAAACCAGAGAGCTGAGCTTGAGTCTGCCCTATTAAGCCACAGTCGTCGAAGGGGGCTTGTAGTGAATTCTTATAATCTTATATTGCCTTGGCATCCATTTTGAAGACATATTTAACTATTTTATACCAAAAGTAGGGCTCAGTCACCATTGGCACAGTTTCCAGTTCTACACCAAACCTAAATGGTTCAAGCCAGAAGGCAGAGATAAGAATTTAGGGGCATCTCCCTCACCTAGCAGACTGGGCTCCCCGCTTTCCCACTTCTTCCTTTAAACAAGCCACACAGGAATTTGCCTGTGAGCCTAAAGTGACCCATATCTTATTCCCTCAAGTATACTGCTAGTTGCCACCCATGCTCAATCTCTCTCTGCCTGACTCTTCCTTCCTGCTGGCAGGACCCGAGAATGGAAGGCCACCCTCCCTCCTCATTGTGCCTTTCCTGTCCAGGATCTTTAAGTAAAAATATTTTAACTTGGTTCCTATCATGGTAGTGTAATGAATCTGCACCTTCCACCTAAAGAACTAATGGCTGCTCCAAACCAAGTTTTCGCTGGGGTGCTGGGGAGAGCACAGGGTTCCCACCATCAGAGGTATGGTCAGGCAGGCATACTCTAGACATAGGTCAGATAAGAGCCACACACCTGCCAGTACAACCAAGTTTTCCATGTGAGAGACCTCCTATGTCATAGGTTGAATAACTAGGCATTAGGCCACCAGTCAGGTAAAAGAAGTATCCATAGAAGGCACACTATAAACACCCACATCCAGCAATCCTTCATTTTCAAAAAGGCAAGGTTACTATCAGCTCTTGATACTGGAACCCCAATTTAGCTGGGGTCTCTCAAAACAGGACTAAATTGAAAGCTTAAATGAACACAACCCCAGAAAAACATATCTTACCAAAAGTGGTTCACTAAAAAATAAAAATCTTGATTGGACCTATAACCTATATTTAATTAAAGAAATTAATAATTAAAACATTATCTTAAAAACATCAGGCCAGGATGGTTTACTATTAAATAATACTGTATATCCAATGAACGAATAATTTCAATCTTTAGTAAACTCTTTCAAAGACTAGGAAAATCAGTCTATAAAAAGAAAGACAAGGTATCAATGAGTTTACAAAGCCCACATTTTCTCTACTTCAGAAGAGAAATTGTTGGACCTTATCATGTGCATATATTTTATTGTGTGAGATGCTAATTTTGTTTTCCAAAATTCTTATGTGTATCAGCATTCTATCTAAAAGTATAAAGAGAGTTTCATATATAATATTGGAGACACTGTTATCATCAGATCTCTTAATTTTGCCAATCTAGTGCATATAAATGATTTATTGTGAACCTCCTTGCTTTGTTTTCCCAGACGCCAAGTTAGAGTCATGTGAAAGCTTTTTGCCATATAACTGACCACTGCCTTCCCAGCCATCAACTCTTCTTTGAGCCGTTTTTTCTCCTTCTTTCTTACAACAACAACTCACTACCCTTCAACTTTAAACTTTCTGCAAATAACATATGGGGAAGTTATCACTGTCAAGCCTAGATGTGTGGTGTTATCGGTAAGTACAAAACTTGTTTGCCATTACATAGAACTGCTAGCTCTCCAATATTATCCATTGAAACCAAACATCAGCAAACATATGATTAAATTGTACTGTCAGTTCCACCATAATGCTTATTTAGAAAATGCAAATTTGTTCTAACATGATTGATATATTAGGGAACAATTTAATCATAACAGATTTTTCATTTGCTTATGCACAAATCATCTGTGAGAAATACTAGATGAACATAGAAAACTGCAACCAGCTGAGCTGCATCAGGTGGCAATACACAAATATCCATCTTATCCCCAAACCTTCAAGTCAGTATTGCCCACCCATCCACTGCCCAGCAAATTTTAACATCAAAATTATTATTGTGCTCTCACTACCAAGCGCTGTACTAGTATACTAGTGAGATCAAGGGTCCTCTGTGGTCATGAAAATCACAATCTAATGCAAATACTCATAATAATGATTTTTACAGTAATTATTATTAAATTATAATTGTATTAAGTGCTAGAAAAAAGGTGCATGATGCTACGAGGATGTGTACATGGACTTCTAATCTAATGTCGGCTGCAGAGATGCAGTGATTCAAGGATAATCAGAGAAAGCTGACTCAGGGAAGTGCTCTTTAAGGTGAAATGGAAAAGGTGTATAAAAGCTAGCCCAGCAAAGGGTAAAAATGATAAAGAAGAAACAACATGTGCAAAAACTCAGAGGTAGAAAAAAATGAGGCCCTTCTGAGGAATAGAGGGAAGGGCAACCTGGTGGAAATACAGAGAGTGTAATTATGGCATGGTGAGGCTACAGAGGGTTGAATGGTGGCCCTCCAAAAGATATGTCCACTTAGAGCCTGTGAATGTGATCTTATTTGGAGTCTTTGCAGATATTCTGAAGTTAAGAATCTTTAGATAAGATTATCGTGGATTAACAAGGTGGGCCTGAAAAATGACACATGTTGTAATAAGAAACACAAAGGCGAAGACAGAGACTCTACAGAAGAGAAGGTGATGTGAAGATGGAGGCAGAGACTGGAGTGCTGTAACCTTCAAGCCAAGGAATGCCAAAGTTTTCTTGCAGCCAACAGAAGCGAAGAGAGAAGTGTAAGATATATCATCCCTCAGAGTCCCCAGAAGGATCTAAACTTGTAGACACCTAGATATCAGAGTTTGGGCTTTCAGAACCATGAGAGAAGAAATTTCTGTTGTTTTGAGCCACTCAATTTGTGGTAATTTGCTAGTGCAAACTTAGGACGTGAATGCAGAGGCCAAATCATAATAAGGCCTATTTAGCTAGAGCTATATGAGGTGACTATGGCAGGCAGCTTTGAGAAGGGCCTCAATAATCCCTGCTTCCAGGCATTCACACCCATGTGTCATCTCCTGCCTTTGAGTGGGCATTAAGATCAGGCATATATCTGGGAATTTGGGGGGTTTTTTATATTTATTATTTTATTCCCAGGGCTTATCACAGTGCCTGGCACATAATAAATGCCCACTAAGTATTTAGGGAATGACTAATTAATCACCTTGATTTAGAGAACTGGAGAGCTGGAGTGTTATAGGGTTAGAGGAGAGCCAGAGAAAGAATCATTAAAATCAGTGTTTAAAGGAAATAAAAGAAAAACTAAGTATACAAAAATGAATAGTCAACTTGGTCCCCACTGTGTTACTGTGTGGTGACCTGGTTGGCAATTCAGACAAACAGGAACCTCCCTGAGGCAAGAGAAGTCAAAAGTGGATGGTCCACCACCAGGACAAAAAAAGCTCACTTGATTTACCATGAGGCAGTGAAATCAGTGACAACAGTGCTCTGGGCATGTGCTAGCTGTCCCTCCCCTTGGTGTCTGAAGTAGTAGTGGTCCCTTCCTATACTGCAAAATGGGTGAGTTCCCAGGATTCATGGGCATACAAGGGAAGATGAAAAGATCTGAAGGGCAGATGCAAGGTTTGGTGGGGGGTTGGAGATTGTATTTTCTGTCAATAGACTATCTAGGTACATTTGGGTAACTAATTGGAAATAGTAAAAAAGACTGAACTATATTGGTACACCGAAAAAGACTGAACAATATCGGTACCCCCAAAGTTATGGAGCTGATTATTTGAATATTATAGACATATCAAGTGGTATTTTGAAACATGTCCTTATTAGCACAAATAGTTGTTTTAAAAAGTTCATATTCAGGCCAGGCGGGGTGGCTCATGCTTCTAATCCCAGCACTTTGAGAGGCTGAGACAGGCAGATCATTTGAAGTCAGGAGTTCAAGACCAGCCTGGTCAACATGATGAAACCCCCTCTACCAAAAAATACAAAATATTAGCCTAGTGTGGTGGTGCACACCTGTACTCCTAGATACCTGGGTGGCTGAGGTATGAAAATCACTTGAACCTGGGAGGCAGAGGTTGCAGTAAGCCAAGATTGTGCCACTGAACTCCAGCCTTGGCAACACAGCAAGACTGTGTCTTAAAAAAAAAAAAAAAAAAAAAAAAAAAAAAAATTCAATATTCTTCTTGTCTCACTATGTCCCAAATTCAACACAGACTTATTTGATCTACTGTTGGATCAAATAATTGAAATGTTTTTCAATTCAAATAATTGAAAACGTCAGGAAATTCATAGCTTTTGTTCACTGTGCTTATTGGGCTTCACACATAAGGTAACCTCTTTCATTGATTCTGTTTCTCATCTGCTAAGAGGATATGATAATTGTCTAAACTTGATTGGGGTGATGTGAACATTAAAAGAGAACATAAATGTAAAGGGCTTAGAATTTTGTCAAAGTATTAAACTTAATATTAGTTTTATTGGCATTAATATTAAACTATAAATGAACAAGGAACACTTTAAAACAAAAATCATATCCCCTAGCAAAGAGAATAGGTCACGTATTTGTGTAGCATGTGATAATTTTAGAGATATTTTGAATGTCTAAAAAGACGAAAATAGTAATTTTTTGTACATTAGACAATGCATGTGAAAACATTTATTTAAAAATAAGGTGTTACACATATTAGGGGTTATTAGCATGAAAATCAACTAAACTGATTATTCTAATTTCCTGAATCACAAATAGCCACAGCCTTAAGACCTCCAACCTCACCTCTCCTGCTTCCTCGACATCAGGCTCTTAGCAGATGACCTGCCTCCTACTTCACAAAGAAAATAGGCCATTCTATAAAATTACTTTAAAGTTAGGCTACCAGATCTACAAGCCTACCTGAGTCTACACTCAACTTCTCTTCCATCCTTCTGAATAGAGGCCTGTTTCTCCACAAATGTTCTATTACAGTGTATGCCTTCTCAGAAGTCACATGCTATTGATTATTTCCTGTCTCTCCTGCATACTGATCCTTTCTGTGTTGGTCATTCCTATTGACATTTAAAAATATTCTGTCGTTAAACAAAACCACACCACTACAATAATTACAATAATAATGAAAACCACTGACCTTGGAATTATGTTCCTGTCCACTTACCTTTCTAATTATCCCTTCCCTACACTGCCAGCTCCTCAAAAGAGTTATCTGTACCAATTGTCTCAAATTTCTCAATTCTCATTCACTCCATCTTTTAGCCCTACTGCTGAAATTACCATTGCCCTCCATGTTACTGAGGTCACCACTGGCTTCCATGCTACTAAAGCCAATAAGACCTGTTCGGTCCTCACCTCACTTGACCTCTTAAAAGTCTTTGACACACACTCTTCTACTTGACTCCCACTCTCTGTCTTTGGAAGGGGAGAAGGAAGAGGTCTTCTCAATCAAAACACAAAATAACAAAACTACATGGCACGTTGCCATGTAAAAATACCATGGAGAAATAAAAACATTTTTACTACTATTTTTATACATAAGTGAGCCTTAGAAGGTTTAAATCACCTTCCCAAGATTATAAAATGTAAGAATAGTTGAGATTCAAACACTTTTGATGTTTGAGTCCAACTCAGCTCTGGTTTATAAATCATACAGCATGTTTTTTAATTTGTTGGAACTTTAGTATACTTCTACTCAGCAATCGGCAGAATCCTATTTTCTCCTACTCTAATCATATGTTAACTAAAAGACTGACCACTAGTTTTGACTGAATAAATAAATAAATAGCCACATAAATAAATAAGATTTTTAAAAGCTCTTTTCATAGTTATATTAGTCCATTCTCACGCTGCTCTAAGAAATACCCAAGGCTGGGTAATTTACAAAGGAAAGAGGTATAATTGACTCACAGTTCTGCAGGACTGGGGAGGTCTCAGAAAACTTACAGTCATGGCAGAAGGGGAAGCAAGCACATCCTTCTTCACAGAGCAGCACGAAGGAGAAGAATGAGAGCCAAGGGAATGGGGAAGCCCATTGTAAAACCATCAGATCTCATGAGAACTTACTATCACGAGAACAGTATGGGGGAAACTGCCCCCGTGAATCAATTACCTCTCACCAGGTCCCTCCCATGACATGTGGGGATTATAGGAACAATTCAAGGTGAGATTTGGGTGAGGACACAGCCAAACCATATTAATAGGTAACTATAACACATTGACCTTTACAAGCCCAGTAAAGCTATTGGTAACTTAATTAATGATTTGTAGATATGCAACAGAATAAAAACTACTCATTCATATAAACTACTCATTCATATAAACATGTCTTGTTGCTATGGTATGCATCACCTAGCTATGAAATGGGAAGCTAATTCTCGCAAGGTATTCAGCTACTTTACAAAATGGCAAAGTAAAATTTCAAATAGAGCCATACATTAGAAATGTAAATTCTGACACTGGATATTTTTCATGAATTGATAATACTAGGGTCCTGGATAGGTATGATTTTAGGGATTATAAAAAGTCCCCAAGTGCCTATAACATCTGTCACAGGCATCAGTAGCAAAAGGGAACTTGACATGGCTCATAACACAGCACAACACAGACCAGCTATGTGAAGAACATGAGAATGAGGTCTGATAAAATCAGCAATTAGGAGAAAAGTGTACACAGCTGGTGCTACATATCAGGCAGATCTTCAGTGTGAGAACATGTGCAAAGTGCTGTGAATTTAACAGAGCTTGTGATCAACTGATAGGGCCTTCTACTTGAATAATTTTCTCAGATTTTACCCTTCCTTTAACTTGTTTTTTTTTTCCTTTTGAGGAATGCAAAGGTGCAATCTGTTATTTTATTCTATAGCTCTAAATTTACATGGATTTATTGCTGTACAAGAGGTTGAAATAATTGAAGAGGTTTAAGTGACAAATCTCCCTAATCAACACAAGTAATTTATCTCTCTCATATTCCTTTGAAACAAAGTATTCTAAATGAATTTCCACTTTTAATTGCTCTACTAACTGAACACGGCACATTTTGCATTTAATTAAGGGAGAGTTTGTTGACCAAACTGAATGAAATTATAACTTTTTTGGTCAAGTTATTTAAAATTTATGTAAATTTTTAAAGTATAAAGTGCAACAGGCTAAATGAACTCAGCTTTGATCTGTCATAAAATTATAAAATAGCTGATTCACTTAAAAACCAGTCCAATATAGAAAGAACAATGATAAATTTCCCATTAATCCAATTAAATTCAGGAATATAAAGACTCTGGTTCAATTTTCCTTTAATTTCCCAAATACCACTTATTTTCCTGCTTTCTCTTGTTCAATTTTAACATTCATATTACAATACACTTATTCTGGGACAGCATCGGATTACAAATAAAAAATATGCATCGATAAGCCCATAAGCACCATTTCAAATACTATGTCAATGTTAATTTGATTTTTTTTTTTTTTTTTTTTTTTTTTTTATTGATCATTCTTGGGTGTTTCTCGCAGAGGGGGATTTGGCAGGGTCATAGGACAATAGTGGAGGGAAGGTCAGCAGATAAACAAGTGAACAAAGGTCTCTGGTTTTCCTAGGCAGAGGACCCTGCGGCCTTCCACAGTGTTTGTGTCCCTGGGTACTTGAGATTAGGGAGTGGCAATGACTCTTAACGAGTTGGAAACATTTCTCTTGAAACAATTATTAAGAAAAAGTTGCCTTATCTTTCTGAAAAGTTAAGGAATAAGTGTTTACAGAATTGAACCAATTCAAAGTAATTCGGAACCAATAGAAAAAGGCATACAAAAGATGTCAAAATATCAGAATTGTTGCTAATAAAGACCAGGTTGGAGAAAGCGACTTAGGTGTTACAGTAAAAAGGATTTCCTAAAGCCAAATTTCAGAAATAAAATTTCACTGGCCAAATTTTGAGAAGAGAAAAATTACACCAGAAATGCAATTTTGTAATAATGTGTCATGGACCGAGTGCAGTTGGCTGTCTGAATCTGTGGGTTCTACATTCATAGTTTCAACCAAGTACAGATTGAAAATATTTGGAAAAAAATTGCATCTGTACTGAATATGTACATACTTTTTTGTTGAATTATTCCCTCAACAATACAGCATTTACATTGTATTAGGTATTATAAGTATTCTGGAGAGTATTTAAAGTTTACAGGAGGATGTGCAAAGATTATTGGCAAATAGTATGCCATTTTATAACAAGGATTGAGAGTATTCATAAATTTAGGTATTCATGGGGTTCCTGGAAACACTCCCCCAGGGAAATTGAGGGATGACTGCACTAGTCTACAAATATAGTCAGATCTCTGCCTTTTTCATGAGAACATTTAATAAAAGGAAAAAAGAAAACATACAGAGTGGCCAAGAAATTCACAAGCAACAGAGACAGAAGCAGTGTGTTTTTATCCAAACTGCCATAATCTTGGGCAGCCCTGTGTGATAGTGATTGACACAAGTTTTCCACAAAGTAAGATTTAGGATGTTCTCTTTGGCACTGCTTATGGTCAAATATTTTAGCTCAGAAAAATTAAAGACAGATAGATGCCCATCTCACTCCCATGTCAGTCAGATCTTCCTGGAATTTGACATATTTTAATGAAACATAGAGTTTTACTTTTTGGAAAGAAAAATCAGTCATATTCAAGGTTTATTAAACAAGAGATAACTGTTTGCCTGTCTCTCAATTTCCTATGGCCCAAGGAGCTCAAAGGTCAAACTCCTGATTTGGATTAGAGGTTTCCCATATGGCAAGGCAATGTTTAATCCTCAATCAGGGCAGCTGTAAATAAAGCTTCTATCAGATTTTCTGAATTTTTTACTTAAAAAAACCATTATTTTCAAATTCACCTGATCTCCCCTTTACAGCATTTTTATGAATTTAGGCAAAAAGACTTGATACACAGTGTGAACAATTTCTATAACCCTGGCTCCAGACATCTGTAAATTACAATAATCACAGATGTGCAGCAACTGTTACACTAACAAAAAGTCCAGCATCTGGAGCTATAGTGTTTCTACTCTTCTCCCATGGACGTTTCAGCTCCTTGAACCCTGAGAACTCCTTTCTCTGGACATCACTTTTTGGGCTTTCTTTTTACAACTAATTTTTGAATTTTTTTTTTTTTTTGAGATGATGTCTCACTGTGTCACCCAGGCTGGAGTGCAGTGGCATGATCTCAGCTCACTGCAACCTCCACCTCTCAGGTTCAAGTGTTTCTCCTGCCTCAGACTTGAGTAGCTGGGATTACAGGCACACACCACAACACCCGCCTAATAGTTGTATTTTTAGTAGAGACAGCATTTCACTGTGTTGGACCAGGCTGGTCTCAAACTCCTGACCTCAGGTGATTGGCCTGAGGCCTCAGCCTCCCGAAGTCCCGGGATTACAGGCATGAACCACCATGCCCAGCCTAGCTTTTGAATTTTTAAGGTAATGGAATAAGTTTCCATTTTATTCCAATATACTCCATATCATCAAATTATATTTATTTATGCCCTGCCTAATTCCAAGTTGGCTTTTAGATAATAGACAACAAAGAGCACAGATATAGTAAGTCTAATAAAGTAAAATTTTAAAATAAGGACCAAGGACAGAAAGAACAATTAAATCACCTGGGCCAAACCATTTATTAATCATCTATCTAATAAATTATATTTATCTCTATGATTCTCAGCAAAAACAAAGAGAAATGGAGGGATAAGGGATTATGCTTATCAAATGCAGAATAAGTTCTGGCTCTAGGTAGTTGTTCTACTGTCTACTATTGAATTGAATAACTTAGATGATTAGAAGTCTACTTTTATTTTATCCTCTGACGGAGTCACCCTTATTATGATGTACTTTAATGGCAGGTTCTTGGTTTTCAAAGATAATTACGATAAGTACCTATGTGAAATATACTTTATTTTTGTAAGACATTCTTCCTTTTAATATACACTATACCCATAAGTTTAGTCAAATATGAATATAATAAATTTCTTTGAGATTTCAGTGCCATGAAAGTCTTTTTTTTAAATAAGGAATGGTATAGGGGAATCAGTATGCATTCTTGATTTGGAAATCAAACGATTGGATGTAGATGGCATCCAATTATCTATATTCTATATTCATAGGCCATTGACAACATTTCATAGTGACACTCCTTTGCCACTGGATTATCCTGAAAACTTCTAAAAGAGGCTAACAGGCTTCAGTGTCCAAAGATTAGCCAACATCACTGAAGTTAAGAGTTTCATGGGAAAGAAAAGCATTTAGTGTTTTAAAAGAAAGCGTTGTACAGAGGGAGAGAATAGACAACTTCTAAAGGAATAAGATTCCAAGAAACAGCTAGTACAAATTGATGCTATTTTTCTTGAAATTTCTACTCAGAGAACACATATGCTGACTAGATTCTTCCCCAAATTCACCATTTTGCTATCCCTATTTTAAATTCAGCACCACCCGTGTATAGACAGACATAACTGTTCATAATTGTTTATATTTTCACAGAAATACAAAATATATTTTAATACTAAATTTATTAATTTCATTTGCATTAAAAAATAAAAACAAGTCTTAGTATAGCTCCTACATTTTTATGCCCCTCAGTTGAAAAACTTTGCCAGTAAAAAGGTTTGGTTTTGTTTTTTTAACTTTAAAGGACTTAAATACATTTTTAAATGAGTAGATTTTATGGATTTTGTAGTGAATTTTTACATTTTGTAAAACATGCATTTCTCAGAATGCTGAAAGTCAAGAACTAATAATCTTTACAACACTCACAGAAGGAGAACAAGTATATAAATATACAACTACTCATTCTATACCATATGAGAATTACTGTGTTAATTGTATACACTATATCTGAAACACAGACATGTTTTACTGAATAAAATTGCAAATATCAGTCACATAATTTCATGATGATTCTTATTTTATATCAAACCAACTGCATGTTTAATTTTTCTGTTGGGAAACATACATTTGACATTTAGAAATATCATACTGTTTTAATTTCTCAGGGTGTGTGTGTTCAAATTGGAATCTTTTAAATAAAGTAGAAATAAAGACTACTTAGGAGTATTTAATTGTCTTAAAATCCTCAAAATTAAATTATAAAACCCTTTTTTCTCAGTATTTTTTGTCCATATTTTCCTCCTCTTTTCATAACTGAGTTTCATGCCTCCACATCAACATTCTGGCACATGTCTAATTATAAGGAAGACTACAGTACCTTCTTTGCTTCATATTTAGAAACTATTTTTAGATGCTGGCTTTCACATGCATGTCTTTCTTTTTCTAAGTGGTTCTTTCACCCAAAATCAGACATAAAATTTCAAGCTAATGTTACCTAGCTAAAAATACAAGAGAATTAAGTACTTTATATTTACATCATATGAATTATCAGGAAACAAGTTACTGGTTGGAAAATAACCAGGATCCAAGTTAAGAAACCAGGAGATAAAACATTTCAGGGTTTCCAAGTATATGTTTTATTTGGATATACTGACAATTTTCTTTGAGGAATGGAAGTTAAGTTCTAGACCAAAATATACAAGTGAAATTTTGAAATTGAAAGTCTCTCACAACAAAAACAAATTTCATATTTCTGAATTCACAAATTCATTTCTGGATATTGGATGTTAATTGCTTCTCTCGTTTCGAAGTATTTTGCCTTATTGAAGGTTTAAATTATTCTCTAAAATGGCTAAGGAGTACTCCTGGTAGTGTTGCAGGGTCAGCAATCAATCAAAACAGATTATGTGCATAGGCACTAGCACAAGGGGAAGATAGAGTTTTCTGCATGAGACTAAACATATTTTTAACCCAATGAAATTTCTCCATAACACAAAAGGTAGATTCTTTTTTATTTTATAGCTGAATTTCTAAGTTATTACTTTGTATCTTCTAGTCCAATTTACAGTTCGTCTGAGTTGATCAATAACTTAAAGAAATAAAACTGGGGCAAGAAAATTGTCTAAATTTAGTCATTTCAATTTAATTTACTGAATACAATTTCCAATAGCAATTGAGTTCAATTGCATCACTATCAATGAACTTTAAAAACGTTATCCAAGTTCAATATCCAATCTAGGCCTCAAACTAGAACATAAATTAAATTAATGATATTTTTTCTCATTGCATTAGTATGATTTAAGTAGGACCTAAAATATTTCTTATAGCAGATAATTCCAGTTCATTTTCTCAATGAGCAAACAGAACCAAGTTCTTTCATCAACCTACAGCAAGTGACACATTTAGGGTCATCATACATTATTTGACTTGCATTTCTTTGTTCAAATATTAAATCATTCCCTATTATCTAGCACAAAATAGATGTTGGCTTTATTTTGACTGCAGGGTAGAAAATTAATATAAAAGCAAGTTAAGTTATCAATTCTCCTGACATGTGTCGCACTTCCAAAAGAAAACAGAATAATTGTCAAAACACATATTTCAAACTTGTTTTTATCAATTTCTGAAAGCACTATCTCCTGAATTTAAGGCAATTATTTCAATAACCATTTGTCAGCTCCCTTTTTCTATAGAAAGTACAGCAACATTTGCTGGACCTGAACACTATCGTGCATCCTTCCAGCATATGTTTCTCTGACCCCATTCTGTCCTGCCAAGGGCCTTCAATGGATGCCCAGTAGGGTATGGAAATTGAAAAGACAAGCATAAAGTTGATTGAAGCATACATGTGCTCTAAAGAGACTAAACTCAAAAAGTCTTTTTCCCTAGAAAAATGGTCCTATCATTTTGTCTCCTACTTATTTTTGGCTTAATTTGATCAAAGATCTAAGAGAAAGGGGTAACTGCAACCTAAGGAATGGCATCACATAATGTTGAAATGAAAAGGAATAAAATGTCCTCTTTCCTATAAGAAAAAAAGATCACGAATAAGCCAGAAACATAATTGGCATAATACAGCAAAGACATATTTACTAAAATGAGGCTACTGGGTGGGTATTCTAGACATTCTTTAGTTAAAAAAACAGTGCACCTCTAATCCCAGCTACTCAGGAGGCTGAGGTGGGAGGATCACTTGAGCCCAGGAGTTTGAGGCCAGCCTGGGCAACATAGTGAGATTACGTCACTTAAAAAAGAAAAAAGAAATAAAGTTTATTTAACAATAAATGACATCTTATTTATCCTAATAGAACTGCCTTAAATGAAACACACACACAAACACACACACACACACACACACACACACACACACACCCCTTCGTAATAGTCCTTATGGGTAGCATTTTTATTCATCGTGGGAAAAATATGTTATGACTGATTGTATTCAGTTGTTCACTCTTGCTACATTCTGCACAGTTCTATAAATACAAAGTATATATTTTTTTAGCAAACATATATTTTCTAAATGTGTAGGAGTTTGCCTGACTCAGCTAGAAGGAAAATGCTGGATATAGAACTACTTTTTCAAACAGGAAATTTCCTTGCTATCAGATTTCCTCTGGTGGCCCCTCTCCATTCATAAGGCCCTCTTATAAGCCCCTGAATCAGAACTACTGAAACATGTAACATGTCTAGAACCAAGCTACTCAGAATTTTTTTTTTTTTAAGTAGAGATGGGGTTTCACCATGTTGGCCAAGCTAGCCTCAAGCAATCCTCCCACCTCAACTTCCCAAAGTGCTGGGATTACAGGTGTGAGCCACTGCACCCGACTCAGAATTTTTATTTTCAATATTGGCTTGCATCTTACTCATTAAGAAAGTTCATTACAATTTTTATATTTATTATTGTCTTGTCCCATATTCATTATGTCCCTACTAGCAAAGCCCAGAACACAGATGCACACAGACATTTATACTGAAATAGTCTCCACTCTTCTAATTCACCACTCTATCCTCAGGAGCATCTACTCCCAAACCAACACTCCCTCTCCAGAGTCCAGAGTCCTCACTATATAACATCTCAAATGAAACATCACGATATTTGTGTACTTGACTTGAATTTGTTCTATCTTCCCTGTGTCCAGAGTTCAGTTTCTTTTCTAGGATCTTCTTTTTTCTCCTCCTGTCCAAGCCCAAGATTACCCCTACCAATTCCAGGAAAACCCCAACTAATCCTCCTCAGTGCTACCTGACAAATTTTCATAGCAGCTAAAAATCTCTTGTGCAATTCTGGGAAAGCTTGGGAAAAAATGGGTTTCTTATCTTAATATAATAGGGTCTAGGGACCATGGAAGAGCAGGGGCTCCAAGAATTACCTGAATGATAGACTTGAAAAGGTTTAGAGGACTTCCTCAGCCAAGAATATTCTCATCCAATCCCAGAGGCCAGCCAACCAGTTATACTTCTTGAGAGGAAGAGAAAACTGTATAATGAAGAAAGTGTAACACTAAAGTCAGTTCTGGCTGGCTATGAATTTCAGCTGCTTTTCTTCCTAGCTATGTAACTTTGGACAAATTACTACATTTTTAAACCAGTTTCTTTTTTCAAAAACTGGAGGTTATCATCTCTAATTTGTAAATGTGGTGTAAAGATAGGCAATGTATATAAACTGTAGCGAATATACACTACTCAGTCAATTGAAGCTATTATTATTACTGTTATTGCATTCTAACACCTTAGTGAGAATTAGTTTTCTATTCTTGCTTCCTGGATGAATTTAGGGCAACATGAGATCTCTTGGCATACAGTGGTGGGAACAAAATGAAAGATGAAAATGAAGAAAGTGGGAGAAAAAGTATACATAGAGATGTGCCAAAGACTACAAAGTCTGCTACAATGGTCTTAAAATCAAAAGTAGAAATAAAACATTTAGTAAGTTTCTAATATAAGACAGGTATGTTTCTAGGGAATTTTCATATTAAAATATATAAATGAATTTTTTCATAATCATCTAAGGTACAAAATATCTGCATCTTAGAGATTTAAAAGAAAAATTTAAATCTCAGAAAATGTAATTTTCTGTTCAAACAGCTGCTAAAAGTCCATGCCTGTCTGATTGTAAAACTCATTTTTTTTTTCTGCTCTGTCATGTTACCTCCCAGCTGGAGATCAAGTACTGGCTGTGCTTGAACTTGAACTTATTTATGATGAGTTTTTCTTAACTTTAAAAGGTCTATAATACTTGCTTACTCCAGTGAGGTGATATAAGAATAAAATGAAGTATAGTACCTGAAAGAACAAGTTAGGCCTGTAGAATAATGATATTAACTTAATATCATTACCATAAAAATAAAGTTGCCAATTTCTCAAACCCCATAAAGTCCCCTGATCTTCTGTTTTATACTGTGACACCATCCCTTGTATACCATTCCATCTCAGCTTGTTCATTCAGCAAAGATTTTAACCACCTACTATATTCTAAGGAATTGCCTCAGTGCTATAGGCCTACCTTCGGAGAATTCAAACCCACTAATAGAAGCAAAAATAGAATTATAAATTACAGCCCAAAATGTTAAGAGACATGAGGTAGGCTTTGTGGGAACACAGCAAAGGTTTTATCTTTGCCTAAAGAAAATGCAGAAATCTCCCACATGTGTACCATCATTGAAAGATTATTTGCCACATAAATAAGAAAAGGACATTTCTCAGTTAAAACTGGGAAATCCCTTTTAAAGTGCCATTTTAACTCTGACAAGGAACTCAGTGATACTTTCCCTGGTGATTAGTTAAGAAAGGCAATTATTTTTGGAAAGGTCTGAAAACTGGAATCCATGTATTTTGTGTATTGACAGAAATTTAGTATAAGAAGTGATAATGAGGCCGGGCACAGTGGTGCCTGTAATCCCAGCACTTTGGGAGGCCGATGCGGGCAGATCACAAGGTCAAGAGATCGAGACCATCCTGGCCAACAAGGTGAAACTCCGTCTCTACTAAAAATTAGCTGGGTGTAGTGGCACACGCCTGTAGTCCCAGCTACTTGGGAGGCTCTGAGCCAGGAGAATCACTTGAACCCAGGAGGCAGAGGTTGCAGTGAGCTGAGATCGTGCCACTAAGACTCTGTCTCAAAAAAAAAAAAAAAAACCCTAAGTGATAATGAGAGAATATCTCTTGAATTATCTCTTGAATTATGGTAATGAATGCCTGTGTTAGATTAGTGGTGAAGGCAGAATTTCTGAAATAATCCCTCAGAAGTGTCCCACTCTAATCCCTGGAAACTGGGCACAAGTTTGCTTTAGGATAGAGTTTCTGAGTGGATTCAATGTAATCACATTAGCCTTAGAAGCAGAAAACTTTCTTCAGCTGGTGATGGAAGAGAAAGCCTAAGAGATCTGAAACATGAGATAGATTCAATGCCAGATGAAGAGGAAAGTGGGTAGCCTTTAAGAACAAAGAGAAGCTACCAGACAACAGCCGGCAAGGAAACAGGAACCTGAGACCTGCCGCCACACGGAACTAGGCTCTGCCGACAAACTGAATGAGCTTGGAGGAACACTCTTCCCCAAGCCTGCAGATGGAAGCACAGCCAGCCCAACATCTCGATTTTGGCCTTGAGACTCTGAGCAGAGAACCTAATCAACCCCGCCCAGGCTTCCCACCTACCGAAATGGAGATAATAACAACTGTTGTTTTAAGTCACCAAATTTGTGGTAATTTTTAATGCAGCAATAGAAAACTAATAAACATAGCATCTTTAAAAGCCTATGAAAAGTAAGGATTAAACACAATTAATTTAATATACTTTCAGTATTTGGAATGGTTATGTGAGTATTTGAATAAGTAAAAGTAATGGGTCCCTCCTATATTGGGAGGGTGAGGTGGCAAGGGTGCATACTCTGTCCCTTAGTGATAATCAGTAAAGGTGTTATCCCCATGAAAGTAGTTGTTTTAACCTCAGTAAAATAGGGCAAAGTTTTTCATATACCGTTTAATTTTAGTTCTCAGTCTCTGAAATTCAGCCAATAGGGCCTTTCCTTTTTTAAGCCAAATACATGTGATTTAGAGTTTGGGAGCCCAAGACTCTCGTCTAAAATTGACCACTTTTCTCTATTTGCTGTATGGAAAATAGAAGGTTAAAGTAGGTAGAGACTAGCAGCAGCAGCAGCAGTAGTAGTGTTTGTGGCTGAATTTTGTTTTGCATTAGAAATCATGAAGTTACAATAGCTTGGCATGCAGAGTCACCAGTTTCAATATAGGAATAAGCTGTGCTCAGATTCATCTTTTGAAGGAAGCCAAAAACAAGAAAGAGGATTTGAGGTTAAAAAAAAGAAAATAAGCAAAGCACAGAGATGACCAAATGAGAACACTTTTTCTGAAATTGTGAGAAATTGGAATTGAAGTTTGGTAAGAGGTTAAGAAACAAGGTCAGATCATATAAGGCCTGAAAAGAAAGGGGACTAGCAGCACCTGATTTTGTTTAAATGGACCATTCTGTCTGCAGTAGGGCAAAAAGATTGCAAAGGGACAAAAATAGATACAAGATAAATAGGAAGCCAATCACAGTGATCCAGAGGAGGGATAATATTGACTTAGCTTAGGGTGTTTGCAGTGGTCATAAGTGGTTACACTCAAGATATATATTGTGTTTAGAGCTAGGAGTATATGCTCATGATTAGCTTCGCCATTCTTTCCTCACCAGCCATGGAGAGTATATTGCAAGGAAGATAGACTCGGAGATGACACCAGCCTCAGGAGTCATTGCTGTTTTCTGTACAAGAAATAATGTGAGATTTAATCTCCCTCTTTCTAAACCTTCCTGAATTTTTCTTCACCTTTACTAAGTAAATAGCTATCATGCAGTGTCACCTCCCTCCCTTCTGTGAGTCACTTAATGAAGACTTGCCTGTACACCTCATTGGCAATTTTTCAGTGACAAGGTGACAGTTTTGGTTCATTTAACGAACAACCAATTTCTAACCATTGAGAAACCATCTGGGAATGTTGTTCTCTTGAGATAAGAATGTTGTTTTCTAACTGGTCTCTTTTATAGAAACTGTGTTTCTTCTTTCTACACAATGCTTACGACTGTTTTGTGGCAAGAGGAATTCTGAATGTTGACGTCGGTGATGCTCACTTTAAATGCCTGTGGCATTAGTGCAATCTAATGAAAAGCTACTGTCTGGCATTCCCAATGGCCCCTGAATTCATTAGCTTTTAAGACAATCCACAGGGAAACACTTAAACATGTATAAAAGCCACTATGCAAAATACAGATTTGATTATTAAAACCTCTAAGACATGAAGTACTATTCTATATGTTGGTTTTGTTTAGATATGTTGCTTATTGAACATAATTTCAGGACTATTTTAGGCTCAATATTTGCATTTCAGTTTCACATAAAAATGTTACATAATGCATTAATGCATTTTATAATGTATTAAAGAGATTGATACCAATTCATGCCTACTGGTTAAAGAGTGAGGTTTATACTTTCTTGATCCAGTTTTATCTTGTTTTTTTGAGACAGTCTTGCTCTGTTGCCCAGGCTAGAGTGCTCTGGTGCGATCTCAGCTCACTGCAACAACTGCCTCCCAGGTTCAAGCGATTCTCCTGCCTCAGCCTCCTGAGTAGCTGGGATTACAGGCTCCCAACACCACACCTGGCTAATTTTTTTTTTTTTTTGTATTTTTAGTAGAGATGGGGTTTTGCCATGTTGGCAATTTTGGTAGCTCCTGACCGCAGGTGATTCACCTGCCTCAGCCTCCCTAAGTGCTGGGATTACAAGTGTGAGCCACTGTGCCTGGCCTCAGTTATTTGTTTATTCATATTGTTTTTAAGAGACAAGAGTCTTGCTCAGTCACCTGGCCTGGAGTACAGTGGTGTGACCATAGCTCATTGCAACTTCGAACTCCTTGGCTCAAATGATCCTCCACTTCAGCCTCCCTAGTATTTGGTACTACAGGTATATTCCACAGCACCCAGCTAAAATTTTTTTTATTTTTTGTAGAGACAGGGCGGTCTCACTTTGTTGCCCGGGCTGGTCTCGAACTCCTAGCTTCAGGTGATCCTCCTGTCTTGGCTTCCCAAAGTGCTAGGATCACAGGCATGAGCCACTGCACTTGGCTCATTTTTTTTAAGTGCTAAATACCCACCATCTGCACAGAATTAAGTCAGGGAAATGAGAGGTGAATATAAAGACAATAATTTAATTCAAAAACGTTACAAAAGAACACTGAAATCAGATCTCCCTTATGTTACCAACACTGCTCTCCAATTTAAGCCCTGAAGTTACTTCAGCTTTCTTAGCCTCATAAGTGGATGAAGAGGTGGAAGTGAAGTAAGAGTTAGGGAACAGAAATCACAAACATGAACCCTGTGTGCCTCACAGCTTTACCTCTGAACCCAGTAGAGACCACATAAAGCAAAGATGGTTACATTTTCCCTTGGAAACTTGCCTGAAACCTTCATTGTCTTGATTGATCAGACTCCTGTCTGGATTCTCCTTCCTCACCTGTGAGGTGAATCTTGGCTCCCAGTGGACTTCAGAAGCAGGAGCCTCTAAGACAGAGGATCCTCTCACCCCTAGTTCTCATTCTCTCTCACTCTCTCTCATACACACACAAACACAAACACACACACACACACACACACACACTCTGGAGTCACTGGCTTAGAAGTTCTCTTACTGGGATACTCAACCTTAACCACTGATCTTCAAGTTTGACCATTGGATCATACTTGCCTTCTAACAAACCAAGCTCTACGTTGAACTGATACCAAGGAGTTTTGGTAACAACCCAAATTATTTCTCATGTATCCAAAGCAATAGATATACACAAACACAATATACATATATGTGTGTACATGTAAATTAAGCCTATATATGCAAATTGAGTCCTAAGAACCTGGCTATAGAAATATGCAAATTAAATTTTAGTTTAAGCAAATTAAGCAATAAACATCTTCAGAAATGAACATCAATACAAATTATTTTAGGTTTTATACTTGCTTATTTTTGTCAAAAATTTGTTTAAATATTTTACTTTTCAATGTTTTTGTCCAATAGAAAGATCTATAAGAACATAAAAGAATATAAAGCATATAAAAGAAGATAATAACAAACTGGAAACTTCAATTACTTTTTTCTTTTTTTGTAATTTAAAAATTTTCACTGTATAACATTATAGAATCATTGGATTTGGTTGGATTACTAGGTATCACACCATACAGTGTTACACCAATGTTCTGGGAAACATTTCAACTCTTAAATGCATTGAATGCCTCCAGTGGTATGTCTTTCACTTCATTAAGACATCCGTTGCAAGTGGCATGTTCCTGTCATAAAGCCTCACTGCTTATGAAACTTTTTTTGTAGATATTGTAGAGATCCTTATTTTAAAAAACAAATCTAGCATTCTAACTTTCGAAATGAGAAATGTAAGCACTTTGGATAAGTAATGTCAAGTTACAACTCATCCAAAGCCACAGAATGGCAGATTATGCTTAAGTGGCAGATTATGAATCTGCTACCCACTGCTTTAATATGAGAAAATTAGCCATAATGGATACATTGACAGATAATTGCAACTAACAAAAACAAATAAATAAAAGATTCATTTATTAAAAGGAAGAAATGCAAATCACTAGTGAAACACTAGTTCCTCAATAAGGCTGACAAGTATCATCAATAATATGCATACAGTGTTGGCAAGGTTGTAGGGGAAGCAAACAACAACATTAGCTATTATTGTTAGATGTCTGATATCTTTTTGGAAGGCAAAAAAATTAATAATTTATTTATTAAAAAATAATTAAAATTGCTTATATCCTTTTGATATGGTTTGGCTGCATCCCTACCCAAATCTCATCTTGAATTGTAGCTCCCACAATTCCCATGTGTTGTGGGAGAAAACCAGTTGAGGGTGATTGAATTATGGGGGCGGGTCTTTCCTGCACTGTTCTCATGATAGTGAATGAGTCTCACAAGATCTAATGGTGTTAAAAATGAGAGTTTCCCTTCACAAGCTCTCTTTGCCTGTCGCCATCCATGAAAGATGTGACTTGTTCCTCTCCTTGCCTTCTACCATATTGTGAGGCCTCCCCAGCCACTGGAACTACAAGTCCAATAAACCTCTTTCTTTTGTAAACTGCCCAGTCTTGGGAATGTCTTTATCAGCAGTGTAAAAATGAACTAATAAACCTTTTAACTAGCAATTTCACTTCTAAGAATGAATCTTACATAAGAATGACATATATGTGCCCAAATTAGGATTTTATTGGCATCATTGTTTGAAGTCAGAAACAAATGCTAGAAACATGTATATGCCTATCAATAGAGATCAGCTCACATAAATTATGGAGTAGCCATAAAAGAGAATATTCTGTAGCTATTATGAAGATCAATGTAGATATACTAGCTTATTAGGTTTTAGGTAGTTAAAAAAAAGCACTGTATTTTTCATAGTAGTGACAGAAGTAGACTATTTTCCAAGTTGCCCTGGCAGGCAGGTATGGTGATGTATAGAGGCCAGTGGAATGTGGACAGAAATAGTGTGTGGCCATCTGAGCCTACCCCACAAAAACTTCTCAAATTCCACTTCTGTGTTCTTTCCCCCTGTTTAATGAAAAGAAACATAGCTAGCTTGGATGCTGTTATGTTCAAGATGTAAAGCTTCTAAAAGAAAAAGCCCAGGCCCAGAGCCTTGAATATCCACTTGCAGAAAAGCCTGCTGCTGATCATATGAGCAAAGAATAAGCGTTTAATCAGCTAAGCCCCTGTGATTTTGAGGTTTATCTGTTGCAGCAGCTAGCATTACCCTAACTAATATAGTATACTCCTTTAAGGAATATCCAACACATTCCTTCCATATATTATATTCCATATATTCAATATATATGGAATTATATATATGATATATATTATATATCCAATTATATTCAATATATTCCATATATTAAGGGGTAAAATTATAGAGCATCACAAGTAGTTTGTTCACATTTGCTCACAAAGTATACACAATTTTCTTACGTATAAATTACTTATTGAGAGTTTAACATTGGATAAAATTGGCTTTGGCTCTATGTTCCTGACTTTACACTGCACTTTCCCATCACAGGAACGAGCCCATGGCTTTTGGGTCACTTTCAACTCATGAGAACAGTCTTTTCTTTTAATAATTATGATTCATTTTCAGATACTAAAAAAAATCAATCCCATTCTAAATCCTCCAAGTTATGTCTACGGCAACATTTCCCCATCCCCCAGCCCAGGCGTGGGTGATGGCTTGGGAGACATGCAATGGTGATGGAAGGGTGAGTCTCTTTTCATTTTCAGATACTAAAAAAAAATCAATCCCATTCTAACTCCTCCAAATCACATCTACTGCAACATTTCCCCATCCCCCACCCCAGGTGTGGGTGATGGCTTAGAGACATACAATGGGGCTTAGAAGAGTAAGTCTCTTTTCTGCTTCTACTTTGCTCTATCAGATCTCCTCCTCTTCCACTCTCACCCTGCTGCTTTAGGGTCTCCTCCACTGTCAGAGGTGGGATTGGAAGAAAAGAGGCTAAAATCTCATGTAGTTGATGCAATCTATCCATACCAACTGTCAGTATAGCAGGTAGCCAAGTGCTAGAAGTAAACTGGGATGAATTGCGGTTCTTCTAAGTAAACCTTCCCATTACATCACCCCTGACGTGAGCCTTGCTTCCTCCAGTTGCCTCTTGTGAAACACTCTCACTTGCTGCCCCACTGATGTGTCCCCAAACATCCCATTACTAGAATCCTCTTATCACCATGCCCAGCTGATTTTGGGGGAAAAGTTCACTGATACACTTCAAGCCAAGTTACCTTCTATAGGGTCCCCTGTAGTGTCACATATCTTCCCACACCAAGTGGCAGTAGTGTGGCCTTGTTTTACAGCTTCTCTCTCTCCTTAATCTGCCTTTGGGATGCTCCAGGCAGGAATCAAGCTTTTGGGTCCGTGTGTGTGTCCTTCCTGTCTTCAGGGGATAAATGGTGATTTGCCATATAAACTTTCTTATCAAACTTAAGCCTGGTCCCATGGCAGAACCAGGTCCTATCTAGGAAACATCCAGCAGGGGAGTGAGATACTGATCTCCCCTTCTTGCAGACTCCCCCCAGTAAGTGTGAGAGGTCTTCTCAAAATAACACGAGTAGGCTTGGGTAGAGAGGCTTTTTCCCTCCTCACAGGAGGAGGACAAAGAAAAGATGCATCATTCTTTACTAGGCCTAAATCTCTCTACTCTGTATCATATAGACTATCTCCCATCATCTGTCAAAGTCAAGTCTCCTCTTACATACCCTGAAGGTAAGAGTCTGCGTTTGATATTTGATGGACTAGTTGTGCTAATTTTCATAAACCAGCAGAGATAATATTGTGGCATATGTCTTTAGAAGCTAAATACTTCATTTTCAGTTTAAAATCTTTATTAAAAATTCAAAAAACGTAGGAAAAACAATTCAACATCAAAATGTGTGTATGTGTGCCCATGCATGCATATGTGTATAGAAAATAAAATGCTTTGGGGAGTGGAGAGTGGGGTGAATGATACTTATATTTAATCATAAACACTTTTATTCTGCTTAATTCTTTAATGATAAGCAGATGTTAATTTTTCTATTTAAAACTCTTTTTTAAAAAATAAAGGAAATTAGAATTTCACCGAACTACTTCTTACTCTGTTATGAAGAATGTTTTTGGACACTTACATCCAGAGAAATTCAACATTTGGAAAATCATTTCTGTATCCAAGACTACTTAATGGCAGATTTTTTTTCCTCCTAGTTAAGTATGAAACTGTGATAGTGACTGCAAAGTACTAAAACTATCCTATAAAATTGTGGAAAACATCAGAAGAGGCCCTTGAGATTTTGTCCTCCAGAAAATACGACAACTACATTCTCTACCCCTGCAAAATCAGTGCACACAGTTTCTAAAGGTAATTGTTTATTGTTTTCATTCCCTTCTACCAACGGTACCAGGACACAGAATAATAGAATAAGTGGCACTAACAATTGTCAAAAAAGTAACTGCAATTTCTGTATCTGGTGCCAACAAAGAACTCAAACTACACCTTAAGCTGTCATCATTTTTCAACAAGCCATTTAACTGACATTGCCAGCTCAAAAATACCCTGGATTTGATTCAGAAATTTGGAACACAGTATAATTTTCAAATATGATATAAGACTTTTCCATCACCTCCACTAACAGGATAAAATATTTTCTGTTTCTTATATTACTGTATTATTGTAATTTAGCCTAAAACCAAAATATTATATAATTCAAACCATACTATTTGATGAGAATATGCAGAAATATAAATATATCAACTATAATTGAATGTATATATCTATCATACAGAGCTTCATGGCAGAACTTTCACTTCTCAGTATTGGAGAATATAATTAATGGCCAGCAGGCCCTAAGCAGCCTCAAAAATAATTACAAAGATTTATAAATAAGGATAGTCCATGATAAGTTACTTGCACAAGACCCCACAGTTCACCCTCTTGCAAAGAACCAATGTCATTTCTCAGGATGTGTGTGACTTCTCATACTCATTTCTCCAAACTCCAAATTTCTACTGTCATTTTAGATAGTACTGTAGAGCTTATCTCAGAGGTATATATGACTGCACACTGCTCCCTAGTGATGCCATGGTAGCTTTACTAATGTGCAAGCACTTGAAGCCCATATCCTTCTACTTTTTATTTTGCCATCTCAGATCTTTGCACAGTAGAAGGTACAACCAAGATCTCAGTTCACGTCATGGGCTTGTAACCAGTACAGTCTCACAAGAACCTGCGCAGATGGGCCTTATGCTTAGTTTAAAGCTCTGACTCTGCCATCAAGAAATGCTTAGTAATATTTGAACTAAGTAATGCACATTTTTATTTTGTACTGGTCCCATAAATTATGTAGCCAGGCCTGGACACAATGCAAATATCTGGGTATATATACATTTGTGTTTTTATAAAAATAACGCTGATATAAATTCTGAGGCTTTTAGTGGTTACTATCTGTTTGAGCTAATATGGCTGAAGAAACTACTAAGCCGTTACCAGTTGTCCCTGAAGAACCATGAAAAATGAAAATACTCTCCTCTCTTCTATCAATGCTATCAATTTTTCTGTACCAAAAAATAACGTATTAATCTGCTAACAGATTATTATCCAATTTCAGGCAGTTTGATTTTCCAGTATACCATAGTGGATATGCATGTAATTGTATTGGATGATATTAGTCTTCTTTTACTATATGTGATAAATTTTACAGAGGTCTGAGAAAATTAAATGTCTTAGTCATTAAAACTAACAGAATTTTCTTGGTTCAAACTTCTTGGTTTATTAAAGAAAATTATCTTGATCACAAACATTGGGCTCAGATATTTCTCATAATCTTTGGAAATTACTAAATGCCAAAAGTAGTATCACAGCATTGAAAGCTTATGAAAATGAACTATGCCTAAGACATAACCTTTAACACTCTCTACACAGTTCTTACACAGTTCTATACAGTTTTTAAATAATTTACACATAATTTTACAGTTTCCAGTAATGGCAATAAGGTATATTTTACTAATTTTGTGGGTTATAGAGGAAGAAGTGATGAGAAATTTCTATGTGATTAAGGAATTCTATGTATTAATCAGAATGTTCTATTTATAACTGAAGATTCAAATCAACAATTCTGAAAGTTAGATTAAGTTGATAAAACGGCATTATCCTACTGGTGGGTACTACTCAGCAGTTTGATCTCTTTGGTCTGGAACGCAGCCTGGGAATCAGAATATTTTATTTTACTTTTATTTTATTACTATTTTTTGTTTGTTTGTTTGTTTTTTGAGACGGAAGTCGCACTCTATCACCCGGCTAGGGTGCCGTAGTGCGATCTTCGCTCACTGCAACCTTTGCTCCCGGGTTCAAATGATTCTCCTGCCTTAGTCTCCCGAGTAGCTGGAATTACAGTTGTGCACCACGACACCTGGCTAATTTTTGTATTTTTAGTAGAGACAGGGTTTCACCATGTTGGCCAAGCTGGTCTCACTCTCCTGACCTCACATGATCCACCCGCCTCGGCCTCCCAAAGTGCTGGGATTACAGGCATGTGTCACTGTGCCCAGACGAATCAGGATATTTTAAAACCTCATCTGTCTAACTATGGCTAGGAAATTTGCTTTTAGTCCTACGATGAATAAAATAATAAGTGACACTACTGTACATCAGCTAATGGCTGAACTGCTAGAACTAGAACTACTAGCACCGTATAGATGTCTCTGAAATTAACAAATGCTCAACAGTCACACGTATTTCTGGAATATACTAAATTATACATAAAACTAATAACACCCTTGCAAATGTATTTTAATACTTATAATATTTAATTACTAACAATCTGTGGATAAATTTTATAAATATTTTAATGTTATTTTTTTAACACGTTTAGTTGCCCATATGAACTTAAGCTAAAATTATGACAGAATTTGTTCTAAGCAGATAAAGGAAGTTTTGGAAAACTAAAACTTGCTTTGTTGTTATCCTTCACCAGAAGGTTATTTTGTACTGATTTTAAGCAAAGATAAGAGAAACTGGTTATTGCCGTATTCAGCCTAATTCCTTTGACAAAATACCCAGGAACAGAAGCTCATATTTCATTTGTCCCAAATGGCCTTCCGGTTGCTTAAAATACCCTTATTATTCTTGGACTAAGAACATGTTCATTTTTCTCATATTACTCTGAGATTAATTTTGGCAGTACGAAGACCTACTGATTGAAATCTATAAATAAAATAGAATAGGAAATGTATAATAGTCTTAATTTGAATAATATTGCTTTCAAATAAATAACGATGAAATTCAGTTCTGTAGAATTTGAAATATCAGCTTTTATAAATTTTGCCAAACATCTTGTATCTGAAAAATCTCAAGTATTTTAGGGAACCTACTGTTTTACTAACATTGAACGTTCTTACAGAATTGAACATTCTCATGTCTTTACACCCCTATCTAGATTAAAATTTGCTCTGGTAAGTTTGTACTACACTGAAGACGTAAGTCTGCATTTTGCTCTTTGAAAAAGCCAGGCATATTTATAGCTCTCTTCAGTGGAAAGATAGAAACAGTGACAACACTTAAGTTGAAAAAAAAGAAGGAAGGGAGAGACATGGAGGAAGGGAGGGAGAAAAAAGTAAAGAAGATAGTCAATATAAATATAATTTAGTTTCTCAAGACAGCCAAAAAAGTAAACAAATGAATAACTAGTGTCTGACAGAAATGTGAAAGTTCCAGGAACATGGCAAATAAAATCTTGGACAAAGACATGTGCAGCGGAACATTCAGCACCCTACAGTTTGAAGTACACCATGTACTCCAAGACTTTGGAGATCAGGACACTGTTTGTGTCCAACACTTCATAGACATTGGCAGAAAACCCCCAAAAATGTTTTCCTGCACCTGGTGGGTAACTAACTATATCTCTAATGAAAGGGTTTGTATGTTCTGTAATGTGTTAACAGGATAAAAGAACATGTATTTATGAAAATGTGAAGGAAAGATGGAATAATGTAGCCTCTTTATTTTTTGTAACTGACCTAATCTTCTTCCCCCGGGATGGGTGGATGGAATTGAAGTTTGCTTAACAAGATTTTGCAGTCCTCTCCAGTTAAAACTGTTTCTTCCAGACTCTTTTATGTAAAGCCCCAATGGTTTAAACTGTCTTTTCTTTTCCTTGTCATTTCTAAAGAGGGTATGGGATGCTTAGGTAATCTCATGGTGCCAAGAAAGAGAGTCTCATTTCTGCCCTACAAAGGATTCTAAATGGCATGCTCCCTCAAATTTTAATCATTTTCTTATAGCACAGGGGGAAAGAATATTCATTGTTGATTAAAGGAATCATAAGTGGAATATTTCTATTAATTTTTACGTAGAGAGACAAAAAATATCACCTGGGCTCTATCACAAGTCCCCACAGCTCTTGAGTGCCATTCACATAATGGTTGGCTTCAATTCATTCTATGAGTTTAAGATGAGTAGCAGCAGTCAGCATAGCCCTGAAGATGTTTGTATTTCTGCCATGTTGGATTGGGTGCCTAAAGTTAAATTTTTATTTGTATACCAAAGGCAAATCCCACAATCTCAGGGTTGTCACTGTGAAAAATAAGATGCAATTCTCCAGAATAGATCTTTTCAACGTTTTTGAAAACGAGTCTGTTCCCGTATCAAGTCACATGGTTACTAACAAAAGATATACAATGCAGATTCTAATAAATCAGAAAGTCATCACAGCCAGAAAAAGCTTTATCTCAAACTGATTCAAAAGCATATGATTGATAGATAAGAGATAGGAAGTTTTGACAAACTGACTACTTGATGTTCAGTTATAGAGAATTTCCAAATTCCCATAACCTCAAAATGACAATCTTTCATAGGAAGTTTCCACTTAAAGAAATTATTTAGTAAGAATGAACTGGCAAAGATGAAGAACGGAAATGACATGTAATAGGCTGTTAACATAACCCTTGGGTCAGATTAAGATGTAATGCTACAAATAATGCCTTTACAAATGTATTTTACTAACAGGTTTGTTCTCTTAAGGAAAGAGGGGCTGATGATATATTTCACTGAGATTATAAAGATGTTCATTGACTGGTTGAACAAACAAAACTACTATTAATTTAAGCTCTCCTGCTTCAGAAACCAAGATTTTTATATGGCTTAGGTGACAACTTCTGAAAGAAACTGACATTCTTATTAATATTATAGCATGAAATTAAAAGACTTCTGAAATGACATTGAAATCAAAGAGTTTGAAAATAAATTTATAAAAAAGCATCAGGTACATGAAATTTATTTCATATTAAATTTATATAATATTAATATGAAATTAAAATAATCAATTTTAGATGTCTATATTTATAAAAATTATATGACAGCAGTTATAAAAATTTATTGTGGCAGCAGTTATATAAAAGAATGAAAATCTTTTTTTTTTATAGTAAAGAATAACAGTGTTATGCCAGTTGTGTCTCTGCGGCTTTTACTCAAGAAAGATGATAAATTTAGCTTTGTATTAAGTTTGTGTACTGTACTATGCACACAGTTTAACATGACACGTGTTATAAGTCTAAATTATCTCTATTCACAATGTCTTTTTTCTCCAATTAGGTATTTTTTATTTTTTTCTTCCATTCTCTCAATCTGTCTGTGTGCACACATATGAGTATTTTCCTTTTGAGTACAGATTATATGTAACACATATGTGCACATATAGACACACATATATATAGTCCTGATTCCTACTATATATTGCTACCTATGTGTATTTCTGATTTCTAAAACATATTCTATCCAGGGTATCATGGATCACAGGCAGAATTTGGAGTTGAAATCTTCCTCATTTTCTCTGTTCTAGTTTTGTACATATAATTATACAAAATGCTTTGGAAAACTATAACATTTGTTGTATGGAAACTTTTATCATGTTAACTATTTTGAGGACAGTAGAAAAGATTTATTTTTAGACTATTTAAAAAAAACTTGGCCATGTAAAAAGCTGTGCACTAAGTTCAGTAGAAACATTAGAAGTAAAAAGTACTGTAAATAAAATTAAGAAAATTGATAAATTTTTAATCACAGATTATCCCAAGATGACAAAAAAGAGAAAAAAGGAAAGACCCAGGTGCGTAAAATGGAAAGCATGATTTACAATTACATAAATATAGACTAAAATATATGAATCATAAAAAATGGTATTTCAATTAAAAAATTAAGATTTTCATACTATATAAAAGTCTCAATAATATACTGAATACAAAAGATACACCTTAAAGACTAGAGAAATTGAAAGGAATAGAAAATATGTATTTTAAAACACTAACCAAAAGAATGGTGGTATAGTTAAATCAATATATTACAGATTTTAGGGCAAAAAGCATTTTGTAAGGTAAAGAAGACATTCTATAATGATAAAGGCTTAATCTATGAGGAATGTATCACAATTCTAAGTCTGTATGGAATAATTAGCAAAGTTTTAAAATGGTTAAAGCAAAAATTAACAGAACTATAAGGATAAATATACAAATATGCAGTCATAATGGAAGACATGAAAATATCTCAAAAATTGATTAAAAATAATATAAAAACTTGAGAACATGCATTATTTGGTTTTCTATTCCTCTTTTAGTTTGCAAAAGATAATGGCCTCCAGCTCAATTCATGCACCTGCAAAGGACACAATCTCTTTTTATGGCTGCATAGTATTCCATAGTGTATATGTAGCACATTTCCTTTTTCTAGTCTATCATTAGTAGACATTTAGGTTGATTCCATGTCTTTGCTATTGCAAGTAGTGCTGCAATGAACATGTACATGCATGTGTCTTTATAATAGAATGATTTATATTCCTCTGGGTATATACCCAGTAATGAGATTGCTGGGTCAAACGGTATTTTGTCTTTAGATCTTTGAGGAACTGCTGCACTGTCTTCCACAATAGCTGAACAAATTTACACTTCCACCAACAGTATATAAGCATTCCTTTTTCTCCACAACCTCTCCAGCATCTGTTGTTTTTTTGATTTTTTAATAGTAGCCATTCTGACTGGTGTTAGATGGCGTCTCATTGTGGTTTTGATTTGCATCTAACGATCAGTGATGTTGTGCTGTTTTTATGCGATTGTTGGCTACATGTATGTCTTCTTTTCAAAAGTTTCCGTTCATGTCCTTTGCTTTTGGGGCTGTTTCGTTTTTTCTTGTAAATTTGTTTAAGTTGCTTACAGATGCTGGATATTAAACCTTTGTAGGATGCATAAATAGCAAAAATTTTCTCCCATTCTATAAGTGGTCTGTTTACTCTGTTGATAGTTTGGCTGTGCAGAAGTGCTTTAATTTAATTAGGTCCCATTTGTCAATTTTTGCTTTTGTTGCAATTTCCTTTGGCGTCTTCATTATGAAATCTTTGCCCATGCCTATGTCTTGAAGGGTATAGCCTAGGTTTTCTTCTAAGGTTTTTGTAGTTTTTAGCTTTACATTTAAGTATTTAATCCATCTTGAGTTAATTTTTGTATATTGTGGAAGGAATGGGTCCAGTTTCAATCTTCTGTAGATGACTAGCCAGTTATCCCAGAACCATTTATTGAATAGGGAATTCTTTCTGCATTGCTTGTTTTGGTCAGGTGTGTCAAAGATCATATAAAAAAACAGTAGATGTTGGCGTGGATGCAGTGAACAGGGAACACTTCTACACAGTTTGTGGGAATGTAAACTAGCACAGCCACTATGGAAAACAGTGTGGAGACTCCTTAAAGAACTAAAAGTAGAACTACCATTTGATCCAGCAATCCCACTACTGGGTATCTACCCAGAGGAAAGTAAGTCATTATTTGAAAAAGACACTTGCACATGGATGTTGATAGCAGCACAATTCACAATTGCAAAATCGTGGAACCAACCCAAATGCCCATCAACCAACGAGTGGATAAAGAAACAGAGAGAGAGAGAGAGAGATGAGATATATATATAGGATATATATATGATACATATATATAGGATACATATATGATACATATATAGGATACGTATATGATACATATGTGTAGGATATATAGGATACATATATAGTATATATAGGATACACACATAGGATATATAGGATACATATATAGGATACATATAGGATACATATATGTAGGCTATATATAGGATACATATATGTAGGCTATATATAGGATACATACATAGGATATATATAGGATACATACATAGGATATATATAGGATACGTACATAGGATATATATAGGATACGTACATAGGATATATAGGATACGTATATATAGGATACATATATAGGATACGTATATATAGGATACATATAGGATCCATATATATAGGATACGTATAGGATCCGTATATATAGGATACGTATAGGATGCGTATATATAGGATACGTATAGGATACATATATAGGATACGTATATAGGATACGTATATATAGGATACGTATATGTAGGATACGTATATGTAGGATACGTATGTAGGATACGTATATGTAGGATACGTATGTAGGATACGTATATGTAGGATACGTATATGTAGGATACGTATATGTAGGATACGTATGTAGGATATGTATGTAGGATACATATGTAGGATACGTATATGTAGGATACATATATACAGGATATATATATGTAGGATACATATATAGGATACATATAGGATACATATATAGGATACATATAGGATACATATATAGGATATATATAGGATACATATATAGGATATATATAGGATACATATATATAGGATATATATAGGATACATATACAGGATATATATAGGATACATATATAGGATATATATAGGATACATAAAGAATACATATATAGGATACATACAGGATACATATATAGGATACATATAGGATACATATATAGGATACATATAGGATACATATAGGATACATATATGATACATATAGGATACATATATATAGGATACATATATATAGGATACATATAGGATACATATATAGGATACATATATAGGATACATATATAGGATACATATATAGGATACATATAGGATACATATATAGGATATATATAGGATACATATATAGGATATATATAGGATACATATATATAGGATATATATAGGATACATATATAGGATATATATAGGATACATATATAGGATATATATAGGATACATATATAGGATATATATAGGATACATATATAGGATATATATAGGATACATATATAGGATATATATAGGATACATATATATAGGACATATATAGGATACATATAGGATACATATATAGGATATATATAGGATACATATAGGATACATATATATAGGATATATATATAAAATGAAATACTACACAGCCATAAAAAGGAATGAATTAACAGCATTTGCAGTGACCTGATCAGATTGGAGACTATTATTCTAGGTGAGGTAACTCAGGAATGGAAAAATCAAACATCGTATCTTCTCACTGATATGTGGAGGCTAAGCTTTGAGGATGCGAAGGCATAAGAATGACACAATGGACTTTGGGGACTTGGGGGGAAGAGTGGGAGGGGGGCGAGGGATAAAAGACTATAAATATTGTGCGGTGTATACTGCTCAGGTGATAGGCACACCAAAATCTCACAAATCACCACTAAAGACCTTATTCATGTAGCCAAATACCACCTGTACCCCTGTAACTTATGGAAAAAATAAAGAATACAATAAAAAGAAAAAGATTATAGATTTCAAAGTGAAAGATAAAACAATAAGGCTTTTAGAGAAAAAGAACATCTTTACGTCATTGGGATAAACAAAGCTTTCTTGATTTATATAAGACAAAAAGTGATAGTTATAAAGAAAAATATAGTAAATTAGATAAGATTATAATTAAAATGTTCAAGTTATCAAAAGATACCAGTAAAAGAGTGAAATTGCAACACATAGAGTTGAAGATTTTAACTATGTGTGTGTATGCATATGTACCTGACAAAGAACTCAAAAATATATAAAGATTCAAAATATGTGAAGATTTCCTACTAACCAATAGGGAAAAAAAGACAATCAAACTAGTATAAAAGGTACAAAATATTTGAATAGGCACTTCACAAAAGAAAATATCCAAGTGGCACATACACATAAGAAATGCAACTCAATCCAGGTAAATAACAAGAAAATATAAACTAAAATCACAATGAGGTACCCTACACAACTACTGGAATATCTAAAACAAAAGCTAGATACAATCAAGTGTTGGCTAGCATTTAGGGAAACTATAATTTTCATACATAGCTGGTTGGAGTATAAGTACAATCCATTTGAAAAACTGCTTAGAAATCTCTACTATAACAATATGCATGTTCTATCATCCAGATATTCTACTCCTAAGTGGTATATATAAAGCAAACTAATGTCTATTCTCATATGCAAAAGAAAAAGATAAATCTCTCAAATTTAATGTTGAAAGGAAAAAAGAAACAGAACATTGCATACTGTATATTTCATTAATTTAAAAGATTTGCAATACTATAGAGTTAGAATTTGGGATAGTGGTAACTTCTATAGTCCTAATCTTAGTGCCATTTACATGACTGTGCTCACTTTATACATTTCATTAACTTTTAAACAAATGACATATGCACTTTTCATGACCTATGTAATTCTTCAACAAAATTTATAGTGAGGGAATAGACAGATAAGTAATTTTAAGTACACTTGCCCTAGAGTCAGTGAACACTTGTTCTAATATTGGAAATTGTTCTTATGTAGTATTTGAAAACCAAATACCTTTTCTCCTTGTCAAAATTAGGCTATCACATTTGAGGCAACTCTCAAATCTGTATTTATTTTACTGAACTACTGAGCAGTCTGCCACTTTTTACAGTTTCTAGCAGATAGAAAGTACTCAAAAAAGCATTAGCTACTTAAGTTTTGTTTTACTTTTTTTCCTGTTTTATTTTCACATCTGAGTATGTTGGTGTATAAAATTTTAAAAAATGATTAGTTTATAAAACTCACATGATTAACGATAGTTAAATATTCAAGCGAATTGTTTTTGACTTCTAGTATGTTCACTTCTAAAGTCAAGGGCAAGTGGGTTATACAATCCTGCTGTATGTAATTTGAACAATAATTTTTTATTTGAAATAATGTAATTGAATTGTCATTCCTCTGATAGAAATAACAAAAGTTTATAGAGAGAAACTAAAAATTATTCACCTTCATGTTCTTTCTGCTTCATGACAGATTTTCCATTATAGAAAAACTAGAATAAATCATCTTGCCTTATTTATGCCCTCCTACTTCTTTCAGTGGCAACATACATTATCTTCCCTGTTTCTCTTCAAATAAAACAAAGGGCTGTTGATTTTACTGGGAGGTAATTAGAATTGGGTCACATTTAAGAGCTATAAGGGCATCTCCAAGGTTTTCCTTTTATTAATAAAGAAAGATACCATTTTACAAAGGGATCTCACTTTCCATACTTTTTAGTGTACAAAGATCAAGCCTAAACAATAATTATATAAAATTATTTACAATGCTTGAAACCCTGAAGCTTTTCTGCAGCTGTACACCTTACTACCTGACAAACCTCTCTGAATGGAGATATTGAAGAAAACAAAAAACTGATGTCACTTGACTTTGATTATTCTCCCAAGTGCAGAATTCCATGTAAATCCATCTCTCTTCATCCTAGGAAAATACTCTCTTCACCTTACATCTGGTAATTATTTCCTTTCTCTACACAGAGAAAAACTGTATATTTCCCCTGCATTTTCTTCTAAGCTTCTAAGCAATAGCTGTTGAGCCACACCTTTGCTCTACTACTAAAGGCTCTGCAAAGTATTACTATATTAAGGGGGCAAGAGCAACATGTTGAGGTTATTTAGGCTTTATACTATGACATGAGGACGAAAGGAAGTATGACTTATATACCCAAATAATTGAGTATTCTTGAGATATTTCCATTTCTTCGCCCATAATATTGGCTTAATAATTTAAACCTTGATAGGGTTTTTTGGGAAAGGGAGACTATATGGAATAATTTAGAAAAATATGCCTGCTTTGTATCTGAAACAGTAGGCAAATTGGTCATAAAACATTATCCAAATATTTAGCATCTTAAAGACAAGAAACATTTATTATCTCACAATCTCTCAGAAGGTTGCAATCAAGCTGTGGACCAGGACTATAGTCAAATAGGTTGGCTGGAGTTGGAGAATCTGCTTCCAAGCTCACTCGCATGGTTGTCATGCCTCCATTTCTGGCTGGACCCTGACCTGAGGCTTCAGTTCCCTGCCATGTAGAAGATTCCTTAAAGATGTTCACAATATGATGGTTTCTTTTTCCCCAAGTGAGTAATCCAAGAGAGTCAGAGAATCATCAAATCAGAGCCATAGGATCTTGTATACATAATCTCAGAGGTAAAATATTATCACTTTTGCAGAATGTTATTGGTCACACAAACCGTCCCTGGTGTATGATGCTGGGGGAGACCACACAAGAGTATGAATACCAGAAGGTGGGATCATTGGAGCCATCTTAGAAGCTGACACCTATAACAATACCTCATATTTATTGAAAATTTTAGTATGAGTGCTTTGAAATGTATTAATTCAATTAATCCTTACCCAAACCCTATTAGATAGGAATTTTAATTCTATTTTTCAGATGAGATAAATGAACATTTTAAAGAGCCAAAAACCTACACAGATAATAATGGCAGAACATTATAAAATGTAATAATCTAGTTTGTGTTTCATAATGGTGTGAATAAAAGCAGCAGCAAAAGTTTCAAAAGGATTTCAAAAGGGATTTCAAAAAAGCCCACTTTACATAACTAGTTCTGCTTAAAAGTACAGCATTTTCCTATGTCTTGCTAATAAAACAAGATAAAGCCATTATTTCAGCTATGACTTCAGCCAAAGTAACTACAACATATAATAACTATTTTTAAAATATTCATAAAGTATGGAATATTTTTATTGATCCATCTGTAAATATTATATTTATATATTTTAGTCTCTCCTCTTTGTCTTTCCTTTGTTCCCTGAATTGGGAAAATTTGCATATCCCTGCCCTAATTTGTTCTTGTAAGTTTTTATTTCTTTTCATCTGTGAGACTATCCAATTACATAACATTCTTCCATTTCCTAATGTACATACTATTACTATTTTAATGATGTAGAAAATGCAGTAGTATTCTTCAGGGAGAATATCCTGTTTTTCTCTATGTACAGAAAGAAAATAATTACCAGATATTAGACATTGTTAAAACCTCTATAATTCAAAGTCCTGAGTTTTTTCTTAGAATTCTATTGTTTCCTTTTGTGCAGCTAAAACAAATTCCTCCCTATTCAACACAAGATTTTTAATATCAAATTACTCTGTAGAACAATTCTCAGTAAATCTTTTTTGAGTTTATACCTCTAAGATCAGAGCCAAAGGAATCTAGAGATCCTCAGATGTAGGAATGAAGAGGGAAGCAATAAAACTGGTATTCCAGCTAATTACAGCAACCTACCATTGCTCATATTGCTTTCCTACTGATATTTCATTTGTGTGTTTCATTTCCCCTTTTCAGGAATAATGAACTTCTCTTTAAGGAATATGTAAAATGTAAGTAGCAACACTTGTATTTAAGTAATGTTAATATTCTTTCCATATCTTGCTCACTCTAAAACTATCAAAGTTCATACATATTTTGCAATATAAATATTAGAAATTGCTCTATCCTCTACAAAGCAATTATTAAAAAGCTGAATTATGTTAAAGTTGAATTATAATAAGTTAAATTGTAAGAAAACTGGAAGTATAGCTCAAAGAAAGCTGAGCAGAATTATAAAGCAGAACGCATTTACCCAACAACATTGTAAATACATTGGTCAATTATGAACATCAGTATCCATTTTTATCATTTTTAATTCATTTAAATTTTGACCAAGATTAATTAAAGCCATACTCATGAAGGCTTCTGAAAGTCTGTTTTTTTTTTTTTTTTTGAAAAAAAAAAAGTTGAATAGGTATCATAAGTCTTTTAAAAGAATCAAAATATAGATAGTAAATCAGACTCTACACTGAAATAGATGTCTCTAATATATTCCTAGTATTCAAAAGATCCTGTCAATGTTTCTTAATCTATCGTTTGTTATTATGAAAGTAACATATTGAGATTATTCCCATCAGACTGTTTGACATGGAAGTTTTTACAGTCTGATTGTCCTATTTCACTCAACTTTAACATGCAAGGCTAAATAAAGTCCCAAATCACCTTGTGAACTCAACAAGGTAAACTTGGAAAATGCATTATAGCTTCTATGAAACAGTTTCTTAAACATCAATTGAGTTAGTTGAGGAATAGTTCTTGACCTTCTTCGAAAATATACCCAAGATTAAATAATAAAATATATTTTCTATATTTGAAATATTTCATAAAAAACTGATGGTAGAACTATAACATGGAACTAACTCTCTGGAAGACAATTTGTAAAAAATATTAAGGACCTTAAAACTGTGCATATGTGCCTATTTTTAGAAATTCATATTAAAAATGACAGATACAAACTCCAAATAGTTTATTTTATAATTAAAAACTAAAATAATCCATAAAAATATGAATTTCCCTATGTTGAAACAATTTTTGTAATTAAAATTATGTTTCATCGGGTAATATTTAATTACTTGCTAAAACGTTTATTAAAAGGCGATGAAAACTTTACAAATAGTATATTTTAAATTTGTTCTAAAAATAAGATAGTATACATTGAAATACAAATCAATCTATATAATATACATGTGTTAGTTATTTATAAATTACAAAATTTCTGGAAGGACACATACCAAAACACACATAGCAGCTAGTTTAGGCTAGTGCAATAAGTTATTTTTGTGTTATTCTTAAAATATCATTTTTGAAGTTATCTAAAGGAAACATCTTCCATCAGAAAAAAATCTAATGAAATATTAATGCATCAACAAGTCCTAATGCGTAATACTGTCTCTCCTTACATATTGACATTGACATTACCCTTTTCTCCTAAAGGTTTCCATCTGTATCCGTCCTTGTCCAATTCAGCCCCAAATATGCACCTATTGAGACTCTGATTCACCTGAGGAAACCTAACTCAACACTTGCTTTCCAACTGATACCATCAGCAATCTTGTCAGTTTTCCCCTACGTTTCTTCCCAGTTGCTTTTTGCTCTCATCTCAGGCCAAGATAATTTAGCTCTCAGATTTCAGTGTTTTTTTCTATTAAATCAGTCTGTCTCTAACCTTGTTTTCTTCTGATATAAACACATTTTTGTATCTAGTTTACTTAGTTTTAATTTTTTCTCCTCAGATGAATTACCCTAGGACAAGCGATTCTATATTTTGGCAAACACACACACACACAGAGAGAATTGGACTACTCATTCTATCCTTATAGTGCTAGTAATTTGAGATTAGGGAATCATGTAACCCCAAGTCTCACATGGAAACAGCTGTACCCACTCTATATGAAGGCATTCTCTACAGCATTTTACATCTAATTTTCAAGTAGTCAGATTGGAAAGCAAATGCAAATGTCATTAATTTCTAACATTCTTGCCTTTAAAAAATTTAAGTTCAGGGTATATGTTCAGGCTTGTTACATAGCTAAATGTGTGTCATGGGGGTTTGTTGTATAGATTATTTCATCACCCAGGTATTAAGCCTAGTACCCACTAGTTACCTTTCCTAATTTTCTCTCTCCTCCCACCCTCCACTCTCTGATAGGCTCCAGTGTGTTGCTCCCCTCTATGTGTCCATGTGGTCTCATCATTTAGCTCCCACTTACAGGTGAGAATATAAGATACTTTGTTTTCTGTTCTTGTGTTATTTTCCTAAAGGATAATGGCCTCCAGCTCTCTCCATGTCACTGCAAATGACATGATCTCATTTTTTTGGCTGCATAGTATTCCATAGTGTATATGTAACACATTGACTTTATCCAGTCTATTATTGAAGAGCATTTAGGTTGACTGCATGTCTTTACTATTATGAATAGCAAATGATAATAGATAGCAAATGAATAGAAAAAAATCTGTATGCAATGTACATACAGTTGCATTTATAGTAGAACGATTTATTCCTTTGGTTATATACCCAGCAATGGGATTGCTTGGCTGAATGGCATTTCTGTCCTTAGGTCTTATAAAGATTGAACTATTCTTGCTTTTTTATATTTGTATATGAAAGCCAAATTAACTATTTTTTTTCTTTCTTTTTTCTTCAAACAGGGTCTCTCTCTGTCACCAAACCTGGAGTGTAGTGATGCGATCATGGCTTACTACACCCTCAACCTCCGGTGCTCAAGCCATCCTCCCACCTCAGCCTGCTGAGTTGCTGGGACTACAGACTCATGCCACCATGCCTGTCTAATTTTTGTATTTTTTGTAGAGATAAGGTTTTGCCATGTTGCCTAGGCTGGCAAGTTAACTATTAAAAATGAATGATCTCATGCTCATAGCTTGCTGTCCATTTTAAATACAGTTATCTGGCAACATAATTGGGTAGGCTCAAGGCTGGGCTAGGCACTTTTGTTACAGTGATGAATACATCTAGGCATACTATGGAAACAAGAACATATTTAATTCTAAGACCTGATCAAACCAATCTTGAATCACCTAATGTGTAAAGAACACGTGTTAAATTGACAAATTTCCCTTAGAAGTATGGAACTAATTCAATAGCTTTTAAAATATTATTTCCCCTATCAATCTATTAGTCACTTTGGAGAGATGTAAACAGCAAAGTCAGCAAGCATTCTTTGATATCACATGTATAATCTTGTTTTGAAAAACTGCTCCTGCCTAGTACATCTTCTGGTGATAAATTTCTAGTGAAGAAAACATCTGGTAAAACTTACTTATCACCATGGTCTCATAATGAAAAATGGCATCCTCAGGAAAAGAGTCTCCTAAAGATGCAATTTCTGGAACAAGGTTCTGTGATATCTAACAATGCAACCCTGCATCACTTCTCTTTACCCAGGCATTAAAAACAATTCTCAATTTTCAAACATACTGTATGTCACATGTGTTATCGGCAAATGTATTTTTCCATCAAATAAACATTACGGTAATGATTGGGTTGCCAGTCCAGTCACTACAAGCCTATTTGAATCACAATGTACAGAAATCTGTTAGGAAGACCACTCCACAAACTATCCATCATGTGTAAGCATGTTTCTCTTTAGGAAGTATATTAAAAATTTCATCCTGGACAACCAGAAATACTTCCTGCTTCTTCCACTTCCCTAATTTACTCAAAAACTGGGGCATATTACAATTTCTTGCTCAGCAACCTGGCTCTCATTTTTTAGGCTAAAGAAGTCATCTATCTGAACAGAATCTAGAGGTCAGGACTGAAATGAACACTTAGGCTGGATAAATGAAAAGAGGAAAGAGCTGATAAGAGTATTTGGACTACTGATCCACTGAAAGTGTTTAGCACACACAAAAAAATGTTTTTCCATTTCTCCTGTCTGGCTTTATCATAGGTTGAACACCCCTTGTACAATGAATCCCAATGCAAGATTTTAAACCCATCTGTTAATTACATACTTTTAATATTATAACACTGTAAAGTTTTTTTGCAGTTTACCCAGAGATAAATTATATTAAGTATGTAAAGTAAGTCATTCAATACTTTTTCTAGTAAAGAATAGAATGTGTATGTAATGGTTCACAGATTTTGAATCATGCTGTATATACAGTTTTGTACTCACTGTCAATGAATAATGAAGATTTGCATATGATAGTTTCTTAATATGATTTTCATTAGTGTATAGTATAATAATTATTGGGCACAATATTTTTTAAATTTATTTAATTTAAATTGTAATTTAAATATTAATTTAATTAATCGATTTAATTTTAATTAATTTAATTAATTTGCACAATTATAACATTAATGAACACTATTACACATCAAGCTTTGTGTACTAATTTTATATTTATAATATTGGAAAATTAGAAATAATGAGTAAATAGATACTTTAAAGCTTGGCATATATATTGACGTTTTTCAATCCTAGCTTCACATAATTATTTCGGAAGCTTTTAAAAAATGTTACCTGCGTGTGCACTATTAAAGTTTTAGTTTGATCAATCTCAGGTAGGACCCAATTTCCCTTGCATTTAAAAGTTCCCCAGGTGATTCAAGTATAAATTCCAGCTAAAGGCTGATATTCACATTAACAAATTTAAGCATATCAATTCACACTCCTCCAACATTGTAAAAATTGTCTATTCAGTCTAAAATTGTGTATTATCCTTATTTTAACCTTGGTCAAGTAAGTGACAATGGTATCCATTATCATCTTAATTTGCATTTTTTTATTCAAACTGAAAATTTTCCAAAATATTCGTTATACATTTGTAATTTTCCTTTTATTAATTGCCTCTTCATATTCCATGCCCATTTGTTCACTTGCAATGTTCAGGTTTTTATTATTGTCAACAATAATCTATGAGAATTATTCTGCCAAATACAGCAGATCTGTCATTTATCTTTTAATTTTGTTGATGTTGCAGGTTATATAAAAATGTAAAATAATTGAATCTACTTTTTTCATATAGTTTTCTATTATTATTATTATCCTCATTTAAGCCAGATGTCAGCTGATATCACTATACTTCTTAAAACCAAACTAAAACCATGCATTTCGAAGTTTATTTTCTTGTTCACCTCAGGCTCTAGGCTTCAGATTCCATCAAATTAGTTCAATTTAATAATCATCTTACCATCACCATACTCATTTGTATATCTGTGTGTATGACTATGTGTGTATATTAACTTCTATACAATTGTATAAATTATGTAGGTTCATGGATTTCTCTTTTGTTTTTGAATGGTCTTTTTCCTGGATACAATTTTTTTTCTTTTTTTTTTGAGATGGAGTCTTCATCTGTCGCCCAGGCTGGAGTGCAGTGGTGTGATCTCGGCTCACTGCAACCTCCACTTCTCAGGTTCAAGCAGTTCTCCTGCCTCAGCTTCCTGAGTAGCTAGGACTACAGGCGCCCACCACCACGCCTGGCTAATTTTTGTATTTTTAGTAGAGACGGGGTTTCACCATATTGGCCAGGCTAGTCTCGAACTCCTGACCTTGTGATCCGCCTGCCTCAGCCTCCCAAAGTCCTAGGATTACAGATGTATCATTGACTTTTAACCAGTTAAAGGTATCACTCCATTTTTTTCTAGTTTTTCCAGTTTGTGATTAAAAGTCAGCGATTATTGTTATGTTTTGTCTCAGTATGTAAAGTATCTTTTCTTTATGGCTGTCGTCAAAATATTCACTATTTTTTATTTTAAACGTTTGAATATGATATGTTTAAGGGTGTATGTGTGTGTTTTTATAGAGAAGAATAAATCTCAATCTATGGCACTTTGGAAAGAAATAGTAATTAATGAATAGATTTAAATTTCTCAGAGGAAGAGAAAGCAAATAATGACAGATGACTGTCATTCTTTGACCAAATAGCAAAAGGAACCTGAAATAGAGGAAGTTCTGTATTTTGCAGTTGGGAAATTTATTTCATTTCATTCTGTTTTACTTCACATTCATCACGAACACACAGCCTATTTTCTGAGGGAGTTTCTTTCACCTGATCACGGGTACCTGTACCACAAGAGATCAACCCTGGAGAAGTCACTTATTTCCTTTCTGTTTTAAGCAAACTAAGCAAATAGCCTATATGTAACGATGTTTTTATATTTCCATAAATATTCTACAATTGTGCAATACAGAGAGTGCAACTGTGGCCTGATGAGTGTATTATGTTATGATCAATGTTTACCGATACAGATTTATACTTGTCATTTTCAAAAAATATACTATTATATTATAAAACAATGTAACTGAACAATAGAAATATAAAAGCATAGTGTAGTGTGTAAGCTTAAAGTTAAAAAAGAAATTTAAAACTGAGCAATATCCTATACCACAGACAATTTTGAGAGAATCATAATGAAGCCACAAGTCCTGACTGTTCACACTTCCGTAGAGATTGCAGAAGATGCTGTTACATATAACATTCCTCGTAGAGGAATAATGATCCAGCATCTGCACCTCTATTTCCATGAAACAGAGGGCCACTAAGACCTGAATTCTTCCATCTATTTATTCATTAAACAAATATTTAATGATTTGTTCATCAATATATTTATGAGCTAGGTATTGAGCCAGGTAGCTTATAAGGAACTATAAACCACAGAGCCAAGGCCCCTGCTCTCATGGATTTTACATCTAGTGGAGGAATTTTTATGAAACTTTAAAGCAAATACATAAGTAATACATTTTAATGACTGATTCTCTGCTCCTCCTGCCCAATGAAGTGACTCAAATCCAAATTCAAACTCCCAGTATTTTTCTCCTGAAAGAATACACAGTCTTTATTCAACAGGTCCCTCTGCTCATCTCAAATACACCAATCCTAACACTGGAATGGCCCAGCAAGCAGGATGGTGGAACAATGCCCACATTTTTTTTATGCCTGTATTGGTATATATTCTGACTACCCATTCACTAAGGTCTAATGGCATAAATGTTAGTAAAAAAGGAGAACTTTAAGACAAAAACAATTTAGACCCACCACATTGCACACAATTTCAAATACTTTAAGAACTCAAGCTTACAAACCAGGGGAAAAAAAACCCCTGCTCTCTGAGCAGCCGCAAGTATTGTAAATAAAAAGAGCAAGCTAGAGGTGTGCTCTCAAACTTACCTTTGTTGTCAGCAGTGCCTATGAAGCAGTTTTAAACAGCCACACCTACTGGGGACTCATCAGATTTTCAGGGCCATTTCTTCTTCGAATCATCTTTCTCCTCAGAAGTTCTGTGCATAAAGGTGTTAGCGGTGGCAGAGATCTGATTTACCTCAGCGGCAAATCCATACAGGTCTCAAGCAACTTCAACTCTCGCCTTCTCAGAAGAAAGAATTCAACTGAGGGGCATAAGGCAGAGGAGAGATCGTGGCAAACTTCAGAGCGGGAGTGAAAGCTTATTAAAAAGCTTCAGAACAGGAAGAAAAGGAAAGAAAAGAAGGAAAGTACAACTTGGAAGACGGCTAAGCGGGTGACGTGAAAAACCAAGTGCGCAGCTTGACCTCTTGACTTGCAGCCTCATACATTGGCCGACTTCCGGGATCTTGCATTACTTCTCCCCACTCCTGAGATCTTACTGGGAAGCCGCAGATTGGTTTCAGGTGTTTTCTATCTATTATGAGACTATGTTTTTTCCTAGCACCGGCTGTGGCCAATTATTACTTTAGAGAAACAGTTAACAACCACCTGACCACCACCTGATGATCACCCAGCACTCCCGGTGTGTGGAAGGGGGCCTTCATCTGCCCTGCTTATACCTGACTAGCTACCTACTTTCACAAAGGAACTAAAATATTATAGATAAAATACCTTTAATTTTACATCTGCAATAAATAGTGCAGAACACGTTTATCTAACACATTATTTTAAAGTATTTTACATGTATTATTGGCTTGATTAATTACTGCTGCAACCCTGTGAGGTATTATTAACATTTTGTTGATATGGGAAATAAGTTCAGATTAACCTAGTAACTTGTCCAAGTTTACATGGCTAAAAAAAAAGATGAAGGAGGATTTAAATTCATTTCTAACTTACAACCAAAATTTTGAGCTCTTTTCACCATATGAAACTAGACAGTGTTTGTGCCATTATTTGAAAACACAGCAAAAAGTTATTGTAACTGTAAATAATTTATCTTATTCATCCACATAACACATAATTCAGCAAATTTTAAAAACTGACAGAAGATTTAGTTGATTCATCAAAATTTGAGATTAAGAAAAACTGTAGCCTGGAGGAATTACATGAGAAAAGGGATTGTAGTAGGTTGAATAATGACTCCCAAAGATATCTAGATCCTAATTCCTAGAACCTGTAATTGCACATTTATGTGGAAACAGAGAGATGGGGGATATGATCTTGTTATGTTGATATGATCTTGTTTGGGGGAAAGTGTCCTGGATTATCTGGATGGGCATAAATGCAATCATGAGAGTCTGTAAGAGAGAGGCAAAGGGATATTTGACTACAGAGAGGAAGGCAATGTAAGGAAAACAGAGAGATCTGAAGATGCTCTGCTGCTGGATTTGAAGAGTGAAGGAGAGGCCATGAGCCAAGGAACATAACTCCAGAATCTGGAAAATGTAAGAAAACTACAGCCCAAGCAACATAGTGAGACCTCGTCTCTACTAAAAAAGAAAAAAAAAATTAGCCAGGTTTGGTGGTGCACACCTGTAGTCCCAGCTACTTGGGTGGCTGAAACAGGAGGATTGCTTGAGCCCAGGAGGTCGAGACTACAGTGAGCTGTGATGGCACCACTACACCCCAGCCTGCATGACAGAGTGAGACCCTCTCCAAAAAGGAAAGGAAAGAAAAGGAGAAGGGAGGGGAGGGGAGGGAAGGGAACTAATACAGGAAGAGTTAACCACAAAGCAAGGTAAGGAATCTATATTGCCAATTTTCAGTCACATAATCTCTCAGAATACCACATAAATCCCATCAGTTTGCTTCCAATTACATCTCAGATAAGTTATAGAAGACAAAAGATTATTAGTATAATTATGCATGAATATAATTAATGGGTATAATTACCCAAAGGATAATTATGTTATCAAATAATTAAATAAAATAATAAGGCATAGGAAAACAAAACTTCCAAAAATAGCAACATAGTGTCTTTTAAATATAAAACATAAAATATTCTTGGAATTATTTTCATTAAGTCATTTTATTTATTCACTTTCAGAGAGGCAACTCACTGTCCAAAAAGTATATGTTGCATTCCATTCTTTAATGTAGAATTGTTACTGGAGAGCAGCTGCTCAGCAAGGGACTATGTTTTCAAATTTTCCTTGCAGTCAAACGTGTCCAAGTGACTGAGTTCTAGTATCTAGCCAGTGGAATATGAGAGGAAGTTGTTTGTCACTTCCAGGCCTGGCTCACAAATAAAAAGTATGTTCTTTCATGCTCTGTCTATAGATGAGCAGATGGCCGTGAATGCCTTTTGTGGAAGCCAGTAGAGCTACAAATTAGAGGGTCCACAAATCACCACTTAGAGAGGAACCACTGATAGTTGTATACATTTTCAAATTTATGAGCAAGAAGTAATTTTTTCTTTAAGCCTACATATATATATATATATATACACACATGTTTGTTTATTGAGGTTGTTATTGTTGCCCTAACACAGGCATCATCCATTCATTGATTCAACAAATATTAAGTACCTACAATGAACCACATATGGCTCTAAGTCTTGGGACAAATCAGTAAACAAAACAAAGACTTCTCTCTTGGAGCTAGTGTTAGAAAACAAAGTAAGCAAATCAATAAATGAGTAATCTCATAGGAAAACTATAAAAAATTAAAAGTAGGATAAAGGAATATAGAATAATGAAGTATTATTTTAGATGGGATGGTTAGGAGAGGCTCTCTGGATGTGACCATTAGAGAAGGCCATGTGACTTTTCCTTAGAATGCTATTTCAGTGAGTGTGAACAGAAAAGGCAAGGACCCTAAGAAGGGAGTGGACTTGGCATGTTTGTACAACATCAATGAATCCAATATGGTGGAAGCTCAGTGAAGAATGGGGAAAGTGGTGTAAAGGGCATTCATAGAAATGGACAAAAAAGAGAGATCAGATAGGGCCTAGTAGGAAATTTTATTCCAAGTGTATTTGGAAGCAGGAAATGAAGAGCTGAAAGGAAGAAACAAAATGCTATACATTTAAAAAAACATCACTCTGGCTGTACAATGAAAAAAATAGGCTTCATTAGGGCAATAATGGAATTACAGAGTGCAAGTAGGAGAAAAATGCAATAGTGCACACAAAACATAATGGCTCTGAGGTAGAGCCAATTCATATTTTGAGTGTGGAAAAAAATAGGCTGTTGATGAGGTGAGATGTGAGAGAAAGAGATGAATTAAAGATGATTCCATGGTTTTTGCCTTGAGCAACTGGATATATGGTGATGCTGTTTCAGAGTTGGGGAAATCTATAGGAAAAGCATATTTAGGGAATGAAATCAAAAGATCGATTTCCAATTTATTAATCTTGAGATGTCAATTAAAGATCAATTGGAGATTTTCAGTGATCAGGTGGATATTCTAATCTGGAATTCAACAAACAGTTGAGAGCTGGAAATACACATTTTGAAGTCATCAGCATATAGGGGGCTATGTTTTATAATTGGAGTATTTGCATCCTTAGTGGATGTTGGAAATTTGTGGAGAAGTTTTAGGATCTTAAACTATTTAAAGAGTGCTCCTGAAATTTAGTGGATGACAAGGATTACTCGACTTTGAAATGCCATATAAGCAGAAAGCTTGTTTGTAATTATTTGCTCCTAGATCCAAATCATAATTAGATATTGATATAGTTTGGCTGTGTTCCCATCCAAATCTCATCTTGAATGGTAGCTCCCATAATTCCCACGTCATGAGAAGGACCCAGTGTGAGGTAATTGAATCGTGGGGTGGGTGATTCCTGTGCTGTTCTCATGATAGTAAATAAGTCTCACAAGACCTGATGGTTTTATAAAGCGGAGATCCCCTGCACATGCTCTCTGGCCTGCTGCCATGTAAGATGTGACTTTGCTCCTCTTTTGCCTTCCACCATGATGGTGAGGCCTCCCCAGCCATATGGAACTATGAGTCAATTAAACCTCTTTTTTTATAAATTACCCAGTCTCAGATATGTCTTTATGAGCAGTGTGAGAACAGACTAATACACTTATATACACGAAAAATTTTTGTACAGGTTTACTGCATATTTATTTTCTTCCATAAATGCAACTACTATGAATATCAACAGAAGATTAAATTTTATTTTATTCAGCAAATTACCATTGATCCCAATTTTGGAAAACCATGTCACCAATAGCAGGTAACACATGGTTTTGAGCTAACAGCACAACAGACTTTATTAGCTTGCATTTATTAGAATGGGTACAAGCATCTGAATATTTTATTATGTCCTCTAATATAATTGTCCTTGAGAATTTACAATTGAATCATATAATTTTATTATATATTTTGGTTTTTTCTCAACTTCATTTAAGAATCAGAGCTTCTTTTGAAAGTACCTATATAGATAGATCAAATTATCCATGACCTTAATTTCAGAATGTTAAAGAGAGAGTCACAAAATATTGACTATACGAAGGGGCATTGGGCCTAACACAATAGACCTACAGAGCAAGAAGAGAAATGAGAAAAGAAGTGAGGACAAAGCTCAGAGGCAATTCAACATTAGAGGTCAAGAAGATGAAGTGGAACCAGTAAAGAAGTTTAAAAAGAAGTGGCCACTGGGCTATGGAGAAAAACAGGAAAATATGATATCCTAAAAACCAAGCAGAGAACATTTTTAAAGCAGAGAGAATAATCAAACTTGTCATGGGTCAAGTTAGACAAGCTAGACAAAAACTTGTCATGGGTCAGGTTTGCTCATGGATCAAATTAAATGAGGACTGAGAGCTAATCACTGGATTTGGCAAAGTGAAGCTCATTGAATCTTTGAAATAGTTACAGTGGACTGGTAGAGACAAAAGCCTGATTTAGATTAAATAAAAAGAGAACGTGAACTTCCAGGTATGGACAAGATGAAGTAACAGAAACTGTATTTATCCTCCCACCTGAAACAATAAATAAGTGAGCAAAATATGTAGAAAGGGGGCAGTACAGGGTTTATTTGTTTGTTATATACTACAAGACTTTTCACAGGCATATTGAGGAAGCTTATGTAAACTCAGCATGATCTTGGTCACAGAAGAGTTAGGCCAGAAAAATGCAAGTTACTTATTATTTTCTGATGCAGGAGAAAGCCTTTGTGAACTATGAGATTCACATATTATTTTCTCTTCATCAGCATAAAAGAAAAAACAACAGAAGCAAAGTTGCTTAATATCCAAACGCTATGGGCAACTCCAAAGAGAAATCAAAGAAGAAAAGAATATGCTAGATACTTCATCTTTGTAATATCCAAGAAACTCTAACAAAGTGTCAAGAAAACTTCAAGATAAATGAATTTACTTAAACCATGAGAAAGTCATGATTACATTAAGCAGTGATTTAAAACAGTTGAAAAGTTTACTCTAGGACATATAGTATCCCTTAAAATGTATCTTTTAAATGCTAGCTATTTTTATATTTGGCTATTTAAATAGAGCTCGTGTTTCAAAGAGAAAACATATACCTGTGTTGGAAAACACATTAACTGCAGACATTCCACACCTCTGGAACCCACCTACCAAGTAATTTGGGACACTGGATAGACTCCATCCTGAGACAGAGTCAACATGTTCCCATCACAGCTGTGGTCTCCTTCCTACCTGGTAATAAGTACAGCTGTTTAAAACCAGTAGTCATAGCCTGAACACCACCAACTTACCCAAATTTTAGGGTGGCAATTTACCTAAATTGCAGACCATGGTCCTCCAAGTAAATAAACAGCCTCTGGAGCATAATTTTGTAATGTAAATACAGAAAATGACAGCAAATGGCACTAGTAATCTAGGGGGGGTTACATAATTTGCAAGCATAATGAGTACCTCCCGAGAATAAATCCTAGTAAGGGAGCCATGATCTTCTAATAACCAGGTTGCAACCTCTTGGAAAAGGTGTGCCAAACCATTCTTTCTGCTCTATGTGGGACTGCAAGCATGTTAGGACTCTGCTGAAGCACTGACCATTCTGTTTAGACACAAATACAAATCATATAAAAATTTTGAGAATGAGTAAGCAATAGAATGATGGTAAATGAGAGTAAAGGAGTTGAGACTTAACCAAGGAACAAAGCTGGATTATTCACACCCATGACAAAGACTGTGCCCAAAACTGGTCAGTGGTGCTAATGTGTTAAGGATTAAAGAATATATTCTCAGAGTGACTTTAGCAAGATAATGGAAGATTCCCAGCTCATGTTCTCCCCACACGAATGACAAACTACAGCCATCAGAGGCAAAAGTGCCTGTGTGGGAGCTTTTGAATCCAGGTAGATTGTGAAACCCTCCTGAAGCCCAGTACTGAGGACAGCCATATGGAGAAGGCAGACCCATACACGAGTGGCAGGCTTGCTGAGCACAGTTCTGGCTGCAGAGCAAAAGTAGTCCCACCTCCCTCTGGACTCAGCTTCAACCCTACTTGGCTGTAGTTTCTAAATGAGCTCCTTCCACCATTGCAATTCATGTCCCCTAATAACAGGCCCTCCAACCTCAGACACAATCCAGGATTCTGAAGCAGGTCCTCACTACCATAGTCCAGAGTCAGTCCTGCCAACCCAGGAAACTGGTGGGAAACACACCTCTTCATGTCCCCAGTAATAAGCCTGGGGACCTTTACCTCACTACAGATGCTGAAGCAGCCCTGTGCCTCAGCTCCAGCTCTACTTGATCATATCCTAGATTTAGTCTTACCAGAGATCAATCCTAACTACTCATGATGTATAATCCTTTTAAGGTGAGGTTAAATTCTGGCTGCTGGTATTATATTGAGGATAGACACTTTATAACTAAATTATCAAAAGTTAAAAAGACGAAAAAGTGATCATCTCAGCTATATGGGCTCTTTTTTGGTTCCATATGAAATTTAAAGTAGTTTTTTCTAATTCTGTGAAGAAAGTCAATGGTAGCTTGATGGGGATAGCATTGAATCTATAAATTACTTAGGGCAGTATGGCCTTTTCACGATATTGATTCTTCCTATCCATGAGCACGGAATGTTTTTCCATTTGTTTGTGTCCTCTCTTATTTCCTTGAGCAGTGGCTTGTAGTTCTCCTTGAAGAGGTCCTTCACATCCCTTGTAAGTTGGATTTCTAGGTATTTTATTCTTTTTGTAGCAATTGTGAATGGGAGTTCACTCATGATTTGGCTCTCTGTTTGTCTGCTATTGTTGTATAGGAATGCTTGTGATTTTTGCACATTGATTTTGTATCCTGAGACTTTGCTGAAGTTGCTTATCAGCTTAAGGAGATTTTGGACTTAGACGATGGGGTTTTCTAAATATACAATCATGTCATCTGCATACAGAGACAATTTGACTTCCTCTCTTTCTATTTGAATGCACTTTATTTCTTTCTCTTGCCTGATTGCCCTGGCCAGAACTTCCAATATTGTGTTGAATAGGTGTGGTGAGAGAGGGCATCCTTGTTTTGTGCCGGTTTTCAAAGGCAATGCTTCCAGCTTTTGCCCATTCAGTATGATATTGGCTGTGGGTTTGTCATAAATAGCTCTTATTATTTTGAGATATGTTCCATCAATGCCTAGTTTATTGAGAGTTTTTTAGCATGAAGGGATGTTGAATTTTATTGAAGGCCTTTTGTGCAACTATTGACATAATCATGTGGTTTTCATCATTGGATGTGTTTATGTGATGGATTACATTTATTGATTTGCGTATGTTGAACCAGCCTTGCATCCCAGGGATGAAGCTGACTTGATTGTGGTGGATAAGCTTTTTGATGTGTTGCTGGATTCGATTTGCCAGTATTTTGTTGAGGATTTTTGCATCAATGTTCATCAGGGATATTGGCCTGAAATTTTATTTTTCTGTTGTGTCTCTGCCAGGCTTTGGTATCAGGATGATGCTGGCCTCATGCAATGAGTTAGCGAGGATTCCCTCTTTTTCTGTTGTTTGGAATAGTTTCAGAAGGAATGGTACCAACTACTCTTGGTATCTTTGTAGAATTCGGCTGTGAATCCATCTGGTCCTGGACTTTTTTTGGTTGGTAGGCTATTAATTACTGCCTCAGTTTCAGAACTTGTTATTGGACTATTCAGGGATTCGACTTCTTCCTGTTTTAGTCTTGGAGGTATCATGCTACCTGACTTCAAACTACACTACGAAGCTACAGTAACTGAAACAGCATGGTACTGGTACGAAAACAGATATATAGACAAATATAACAGAACAGAGGCCTCAGAAATAATGCCACACATCTACAACCATTGGATCTTTTAAAAACCAGACAAAAACAAGCAATGGGGAAAGGATTCCCTATTTAATAAATGGTGTAGGGAAAACCATGCTAGCCATATGCAGAAAACTGAAACTGGACCCCTTCCTTACACCTTATACAAAAATTAACTCAGACACACACCACCAAGCCTAGCTAATTTTTGTATTTTTGGTAAAGACAGAGTTTCAGTATGTTGGCCAGGCTGGTGGCAAACTCCTGACCTCAGATCCACCTGCCTCAGCCTCCCAAAGTGCTGGGATTACAGGTATGAGCCACCACACCCAGCCACAACTTTTGTACATTGATTTTGTATTCTGAAACTTTACTGAAGTTTTGTTTGTGTTTGTTTTTCCAGTTCTTGAAACCTTTGGGATGAGCCTCTGAGATTTTCTAGGCATGAAATAATATTATTTGTGAAGAGAAGTAGATTGACTTTCTCTCTTTCTATTCTTTCTCTTGCCTTTTATTTCTTTCTCTTGCCTGGTTGCTTTCTCTAAGACTTCCAGTACTGTGTTGAATACATGTGGTAAAAGTGGGCATCCTTGTCTTGTTCCAGTTCTCAAGAGGAATGCTTTCAGCTTTTGCCCATTCAGTATGATATTGGCTGTGGGTTTATCATATGTGGCTCTTATTATTTTGAGGTATGTTCCTTTAATGCATAGTTTGTCAAGGGCTTTTAACATGAAGGGATGTTGATTTTTATTGAAAGCCTTTTCTGCATCTGTTGAGATGATCATATGGTTTTGTTTTTACTTCTGTCTACGTGATGAATCCCATGTATTGATTTGTATATGTTGAACTAATCTTGCATCCCAGGAATAAAACCTACTTTATAATTGTGGATTAGCTTTTTGATGTGCTGCTGGATTTGGTTTGCTAGTATTTTGTTGAGAATTTCTGTGTCTATTTTCATCAAAGACATTGGCCTCAAGTTTTCTTTTTTCATTGTGCCTCTGCTAGGTTTTTTTTTCAGAATTTAAACAAAATTGTAAAATCTTTAGCTAGAGTAGGAAAAAGGAAAGGACTCAAAAAAATAAATAAAATCATGCATATGTTCATTGCAGCACTACTCACAATAGCAAAGACATGGAATCAACCTACATGCCCATCCATGATAGACTAGATTGAAAAATCTGGTACATATATGTCATAAAATACTCTGTAACCATAAAGATAATGAGATCAGGCCCTTTGTAGTAACATAGATAGAGCTAGAGGCCATTATCTTGAGCAAACTAATGCAGGAACAGAAAACCAAATACCACATATTCTCTTATAAGTAGAAGCTAAACATTGAGTACATATGGACACAAAGAAGGGAAAAACAGACACCAGGGCTGACTTGAGGGTGGAGGGTGAGAGGAGGATGAGGGCTGAAAGCTACCTATTAGGTACTATGCTTATTACCCGGGTGATGAAATAATTTGTATGCCAAACCCTTGCGACATGCAATTTACCTATATAGCAAACCTGAACATGTACCCCTGAACCTAAAACAAAAGTTAACGAAAAAAAAGTGGTATAACCATACAATGAAATATTATTTAGCCAGAAAAAGGGATGAAGTACGAATATAACATGAATACACCTTGAAAACATGGTGAGTAGAAAGAAGCCAAATACAAAAGGCCACATGTAGTATTTCATTTATATGAAATGTCTAGAGTAGGCAAATCCTACTCCAGACATAAAGTAAGGTAGTGCTTGCTAGGGACTGGGGTGGGATGAATATAAAATGATAGCTAATGGATATGGGTTTTCTTTGGGTGAGGGATGATGAAAATGTTCCAAAATTATATTGTAGTGATGGTATGACTTTGACTACATTAAAAATCATTGAAATGTACACTTTAAATAGGAAAATATTATGTGACTTATATCTCAATAAAGCTGTTAACAAATTAAAATGAAATAAAATCAGAAATGAGGGGATGCATTACAATACAATAGATGCCTCAGAAATAAAAAGGACCATACACTGCCTTTATGAACAATTATATGCCAACAACTTGGATAATCTAGAGGAAATGATTAGTTTTTAGACACATACAACTTTCCAAACCTGAATCAAAGAGAAATAGTAAGCTTGAATAGACCAATGCAAGAAGATTGAATTAGTCACCAAAAACCTTCTGGAAAAATTCAAAATTAGCTGACTTCATGGGTAAATTCTACCAAACATTCAAAGAGGAATTAATATCAATCCTTTTTAACCTCTTCCAAAAAATAGAAAAAGAGGGAGTACTTTCAAACTCATTTTATGAGGCTGCTATCACCCTGATACAAAAGCAAAACAAAGACACCATGAAAAAGAGAAAATCGTGGGCCAATACCCTTGATTACCATAGATGCAAAAATTCTCAATATAATGCTAACAGCTAGAATTCAACACCACCTTAAAATAATTGTACATCATGACCAAGTGAGATTTTCCCTGGGATGCAACATTAATTCTATATATGCAAACAAATGTGATACATGAGATTAAAAAAATTTTAAACCACATGATCATCTCAGGAGACACAGAGAAAGCATTTGACAAAATTTAAATTGATTCATAATTAAAACTCCCAACAAAATAGGTAAAAAAGAATAATAGGCAAAGAGGAATTTAGCACAATATAAGCCATATATGAAAAGATAACAGCAATCTTCATAATCAATAAGAAAAATCTAAACATTTTTCCTCTAAGATCCGGTAAAACGCAAGGATGCTCATTCTTACCAATTCTATTCCACATAGTACTCAAAGTCCTACCCAGTGCAATTAGTGAAAGAAAAAAAGAAAGAAAGAAGAAAGGAAGAAAGAAAAAGAAAGAAAGAAAGAAAGAAAGAAAGAAAGAAAGAAAGAAAGAAAGAGAAAGAAAGAAAAAATTCAAATTGGAAAAAAGTAAAAATACTTCTGTTCACAGATGATATCATCATATATGTAGAAAATCTTAAAGACTCAACCAAAAAAAAAAAAAAAACAAGAACTAATGAATGAATGAAGTAAAGTTGCAGGATATAAAATCAACATACACACTCAGTAGCATTCCTATACACAAAAACAATCTCTCCAAAAGGAAATTAAGAAAGCAACTCCATTCATAATAGCACAAAAAATACAAGACCTAGGAATAAACTTAACCAAAGTGGTGAAAGACTTCTACAGTGGAAATTATAAAACATTGATGAAGGAAATTAAAGGCACAGATATATGAAAATATATTTCATGTTCATCGACTGAAATAATTACAATTATTAAAATGTCCATATTTTCCAAACTGATCAGACAATCTCTATTAAAACACAAATGGCATTGTTAATAGAAATTTTAAAAATCAAAAATTTACGTGGAACCACAAAAGACACCAAACACCCAAAATAATATTGAGGAAGAACAAAGAAGTAGGCATCACACTTCCTGATTTCTAAATATATTACAAAGCTACTGCAATCAAAGATTATGGTATTGATATAAAATATATAGACCAATGGAACATTACAGAGAGCCTAGGAATAAATCAATCTGTGCTCAACTAACTTTTGACCAGAGTGTCAAGACACACAGTGAGGAAAGAATCGTCTCTTCAATAGGTGTCTATTAGTCCATTCTCAGGCTGCTGTAAGGACATACCCAAACCTGGGTAATTTATAAAGGAAAGAGGTTTAATGAACTCACAGTTCCACATGGCTGGGGAGGCCTCACAATCATGGTGGAAGGTGAAGGAGGAGTAAAGGCATATCTTACATGGTGGCAGGCAAAAGATTGTGTGCAGGGGAACTGCCCTTTGTAAAACCATCAGATCTCATGAGACTTATTCACTATCATGAGAACAGCATGGGTAAACCCGCCCCCATGATTCAATTACATCCCACCAGCTCCCTCCCATGACACGTGGGGATTTGGGGAGCTTCAATTCAAGATAAGTTTTATGTGGGAACACAGCCAAATTATATCATTCTGCCCATGGCCCCTCCCAAATCTCATGTCCTCCCATTTCAAAACCAATCACGCCTTCTCAATAGTCCCCCAAAGTCTTAACTCATTTCAGCATTAATTCAAAAGCCCACAGTCCAAAGTCTCATCTGAGACAAGGTAAGTCCCTTCTGCCTGTGAGCCTGTAAAATCAAAAGCAAGTTAATTTCTTCCATTCTAATAGATACAATAGAGGTAGAGGCATTGGGTAAATACACCTATTCCAAATGGGAGAAACTGACCAAAATGAAGGGGCCGCTGGCCCCATGCAAGTCTGAAATCCAGCGGGGCAGTCAAATTGTAAAGCTCCAAAATGATCTCCTTTTACTCCATGTCTCACATCCAGGTGACGCTGATGCAAGAGGTGGGTTCATGGTCCTTGGCAGCTCTGCCTCTGTGTCTTTGCAAGGTACAGGCCCCTTCCCGACTGCTTTCACAAGCTGGCATTGAGTGTCTGCGGCTTTTCCAGTCGCACAGTGCAAGCTGTCAGTGGATCTATTATTCTGGGGTCTGGAGGATGGTGGCCCTCTTCTCACAGCTCTACTAGGCAGTCCCCCAGTGGGGACCCTGTGTGGGGGGCTTCAACCCCACATTTCCCTTCTGCAGTGCTTTCGAAGAAGTTTTCCATGAGGGTTCCACCCCTACAGCACACCTCTGCCTGGACATTCAGGCATTTCCATACATCCTCTGAAATCTAGGCGGAGGTTCCCAAACCTCAATTCTTGATTTCTGTGCACCTGCAGACACAACACCACATGGAAGTTGCCAAGGCTTGGGGCTTGCACCCTGTGAAGCCATGGCCTGAGCTGTACCTTGGCCTCTTTTAGCCACAGCTGGAACCACTGGGATGCAGGGCGCCAAGTCCTGAGACTGCACACAGCCGATGTGCCCTGGACCCAGCCCAGGAAGCCAATTTTCCTTCCTGGGCCTGTGGGCCTGTGATGGGAGGGGCTGCCACCAAGGTCTCTGACATGCCCTGGAAACAGTTTCCTCATTGTTGGGGTGATTAGCATTTGGCTGCTCATTACTTATGCAAGTTTCTAACGCTGGCTTAAATTTCACCCCTGAAAATTGTTTTTTTTTCTTTTCTTTTCTTTTCTACTGCATTGTCAGGCTGCAAAGTTTTCAAACTTTTATGCTCTGCTTCCTCTTGAACACTTTCTGCTTAGAAATTTCTTCTACCAGGTACCCTAAATTATCTCTCTCAAGTTCAAAGTTTTATAGATCTCTAGGGCAGGGGCAAAATGCCACCAGTCTTTTTGCATAGCAAGAGTGACCTTTACTCCAGTTCCCAACAAGTTCCTCATCTCCATCTGAGACCACATCAGCCTGGACTTTATTGTTATATCCCTATCAGCATTTTGGTCAAAGCTATTCAACAAGTCTCTGAGTCTCCAAGTTCATTCAAGCCATTCAACAAGTCTCTAAGTCTCTAAGTTCCAAACTTTCCCACACCTTTCTGTCTTCTGAGCTCTCCAAGTCTCTAGGAAGTTCCAAACTTCCCCACATTTTCCTATCTTCTTCTGAGCCCTCCAAACTGTTCCAACCTCTCCCTGTTACCCAGTTCCAAAGTCATCTCCACATATTCAGATATCTTTACAGCAGCACCCTACTCTACTGAAACCAATTTACTATATTAATCCATTCTCATGTTGCTATAAGGACATACACAAAACTGAGTAATTTATAAAGGAAAGAGGTTTAATGGACTCGCAGTTCCACATGGCTGGGGAGGCCTCACAATCATGGTGGAAGGTGAAGGAGGAGTAAAGGCATATCTTACATGGCGGCAATCAAGAGAGCATGTGCAGGGGAACTGCCCTTTATAAAACCACCAGATCTCATAAGACTTATTCACTATCATGAGAACAGCATGGGAAAAACCTGCCCCCATAATTCAATTACCTCCCACAAGATCCCTCCCATGACATATGGGGTTTTTGGAAGCTACAATTTAAGATAAGCTTTTGGTGGAGACACAAACCATATTGAAGTGTTACTGGGAAAACTGGATATTCACATGCAGAAGAATAAAATTGGACCCTTATCTCACATCATATACAAAATTAAACTCAAAATTGATTAAATGCTTAAATATAAGACCTGAAATCATAAAACTTTTGTAAGAAAAAATAGGGTAAACCTTCCTGTCATTGGTATGAGCAACTAGTTTTTTGATATGACATCAGAAGCACGGGTGTCAAAAGAAGAGATTGTATTACATTAAAAACTTCTACATCTCAAAGGAAACAATCCAGTTAAAAAGACAGCCTATAGAATGGGAGGAAATATTTGCAAACCATATATCTAATAAGGTGTTAATATCCAAAATATATAAGGAACTCAAGCAACTCAATAGCAAATTTAACCCAATTTAAATATAGCCCAATTTAAAAATAGGCAAAGGACCTGAAGAGACATTTTTCCAAAGAAGAAACAAAAATGGCCAACAGGTATATAAAAAGATGTTGAGGCCGGGCGCGGTGGCTCACGCCTGTAATCCCAGCACTTTGGGAGGCCGAGGCGGGCGGATCACGAGGTCAGGAGATCGAGACCATCCTGGCTAACACGGTGAAACCCCGTCTCTACTAAAAATACAAAAAATTAGCCGGGCGTGGTGGTGGGCGCCTGTAATCCCAGCTACTCGGGAGGCTGAGGCAGGAGAATGGCATGAACCCAAGAGGCGGAGCTTGCAGTGAGCCGGGATAGCGCCACTGCAGTCCAGCTTGGGCGAAAGAGTGAGACTCCGCCTCAAAAAAAAAAAAAAAAAAAAAAAAAAAAAAAAAAAAAAAAAAGATGTTGAATATCACTAGTCATCCGGGATATGCAAATGAAAATCACAATGAGATATTATTTTGCACCTATTAGGATGGCTATTATCAAAAAGACAAGAGTAACACGTGTTGGTGAGAATGTGGAGAAAAGAGAACCCTTGCACACTGATGGTGAGAATGTAAATTGGTACAGCCATTATTGCACATGGTATGGAGATTCTTCAAAAAAACAAAAACAGAACTACTGTATGATCCTGCAATCCCTGTTGTGGGTATATATCCAGTGGAAATGAAATCCATATGTCAAAGAGATATCTGCATTCCCATGTTCATTGTAGCATTATTCACAATAGCCAAGATATGGAAACAACGTGTCAATGGATGAATGGATAAAGAAAATGTGATGTATACACATTCACAAAGAAATGGAATATTATTCAGCCTCAAAAAAGGACAAAAGCCTGCCATTTTTGGCAATATGGATGAACCTGAAGGACATTATGGTAATTGAAATAAGCCAGACACAGAAAGACAAATACTGCATGACCTCACTTATATGTAGAATCTAAAAAACTTGAACTCATAAAAGCAAAGAGGAAAATGTTAGTTGGCCGAAGCTGCCAGGTGGGGGAAATGTGAAGATGTTGGTGAAAGGATACAAAGAGTCAGTTATGCAGGATCAATATGTTCTAGAGATCTAATGTACAGCATGACTACAGTTAATAATACTGAATCCTATATTTGAAATTTGCTAAGAGTAGATCTTCAGTGTTCTTACCACAAAAAAATAACTATTTGAGGTAACATATATGTCCTTTGGCTTGATTGTGGTAATCATTTCACAATGTGTAAGGATATCAAAATATGACATAGTATACCTTAAATATATACAATTTTTATTTGGCAAGTATACCTTAATGAAGCTGGGAGAAAAAAAGAATTATCTTCTTTGTCTTCTTCTCGCAGTTATTCATTTCTTGCCCAGATTTACTCAACTTTGTACTGTTCTTGCCTCCAGTCCTGTCTAGCTGCAATAGATTCTCCACACTTCAGACCATGAACTTTCTGTTTCTAAATGGAAATCAGTTCATATCTTTCTCTGCTTTAAAATTCATAACTGCCTCCTAATAGCCTAAGGATTAGGCCCATACTCTATCATAATGTCATAGTTTGAAACAATGATCTGGGTGCAGGTTGGTTCTTTGAGGGTGATCCCGGAAGTACAAATGATGGCATGAAAAAGGTTTGACAGGGAAGGTAGAAAAGTCTATAAATCCTGCCTTAGTAAGTAGCTTAATACGACAGGCAACTGCAGCTAAATACACTATAGGCCCTTGTGTCTGAAACACACCTTACAATTGCATTGTGGCTGGAGCATTGACTCCCAACTCCATTTGTTGAGAGTGCTCTTAGTCATATTAACACCACTTCCAATTTGTGTTACTTGAAACATAATCATTTCCCAAGGTACTAGAGAAAGATTTCAGGCAGAGAAGAGAGAAGCAGATATTTCTAAGGTGGAAAGATGTCAATGTTACAGAAACTATCTCATTCTGCACCTGCAGGCGAACTCAGAGAGGCCGATGGAAGATGAGAATTTGCTTTACATGGCACAGAAGACCCACATGGTCTGGCACGGAAATCAGAAAACTCATCCCTGGTCACTTGATAACTACAATGTACTTGTATTGGACCCCTTTCCATTTCATGAATGGATCCCATCTTTTCCAAATTACAAATTCACAACTGTACAGTTCGATTTTTTTCTCTGCTTCTATGGCAGATGGTTCCTATTTTACTATCTAGCATCATGAGCCAATTATAATTTAAACACGGAGTCTAACAGAGAATCTCACAGAGGGAACACGCATATGTTTGTTGAATGAATAACTAAAAAAAATCTCTTAGATGATAGAGAGACTGCTGACAGAACAAACGAGCATACCTGTATGATGAAATTAAGTAGAATAATCACAGGCAGGGAGGGTATAAGAAGTGTTTTATGAATGTATTAAATTTATGGAGGCAGAAGTGTTGTCAGGAAAAATAATTTTGTTAAGTGACAGGATCCTGATAGACAGTACTGTGTCAGGCAGGCAAATCAGTTTCTTAGATGTAGCTAAGATAAAGAAGTTTGCCCTTTTTTGAGCTCAACTTTAAGGTCTTCCATCAATCTGAGGTTTCTATAGGAGCCAGAATGATTTGCTCTTTTATTTAATATTTAAGAGGTGTTGTTAAATAGTCCCCAAACTAGGTGTGCTCTTCCTTTGTAGATTTGGAGAGAGCACCAGGGAGCTCCACTGCTACTGTTACTTAACAAAATTATTTTTCCTAATAATACTTCTGCCTCCATAAATTTACAATAAGTCAGAAAAAAATACATATATCCAACTGGGAGAGTCAAATACTCAGGTTCATTAAAATGCCACAGAGGCAGGATGCTGTGTGAGATTTGCAGGGTGGTGCATGTGAACCTGTTAACCTTGCTTCTAAATCTAAGAAGTGGGCACATACAGCTTTGTTTGAGTATATCTGCCTCTTACAATCTGTCCTTTCCAGTTAGTCCTTAAAAGGATATTCACCTGGGTACCAATAGTTGTCACAAGACTCTTCTATTTCTCTTTTGCCTATTCAAGAGGAATGATGCCATAAGATTGTAAGAATATGATACGTAGGTAGTAGGGGTTTGTGAGGATGAATACAGAAGATTTCAGAATTGATGAAACTTAAATATATATTTAGCAAAAGTGAAAGTAAACTGTGAACAGGCGTATCAGCCAATAAACTGGAATTTCTTTTTGTATTCTTTTGGAAATAAAACATCCTTTTGCTACATTGGCACCAGTGCGTGTACCTAAATAGGTAATTTTGTCTTCTGGTTCCTATCTGTGGGAGAGATTCGGTTTCACAGTTTCTTTGAGCAAACTGTAATGCAGTATTTGGACTCTTTTTGTAATGGTGGATCTGAAACAAGAGCTACATAATGATTCTATAAAATACTCTGCTAAAATAAATTAATTCCTGGCCAGGCATGGTGGCTCACAACTGTAATCCAAGCACTTTGGGAGGCCAAAGCAGGAGGATCACCTGATGTCAGGAGTTTGAGACCAGCCTGGCCAGCATGGTGAAACCCCGTCTCTACCAAAAATACAAAAATTAGCCAGGCATGGTGGCGCACACCTGTAGTCCCAGCTACTCAGAAGGCTGAGGCAGGAGAGTTGCTTGAACCCAGGAGGCGGAGGTTGCAATGAGCCAAGATCAAGCCACTGCACTCCAGCCTGGGCAACAGAGGAAGACTTTGTCTCAAAAATAAATTAAATAAATAAATAAATAAATAAACTCCTTACGCAAGGCAATCACTAGTAAACCATAGCTGCTGAAGGTGACAAGAGTATCCAAGGATGACACTGAAGAGCAAGGCCAAGGTCTTCATACAAAATCAAATACCTTATTCAAACCCTAGGTATATCAGTTTGTGATAAACTGATAGAACTCAGTAATCAAACACAATTAAAATGACTGATTTTCCAGCTATGAAATGTTTGAGAGTTATAGTACAAAAGGCCAACATAGAAAACTGTTTTACCAATAAGCCTCTTAGTGAATGCTAATCTTCATTTATAGTCTCATAAATACATATGGCCAAAATAGAACAGAATGTGTTAATGACTAAACTCTGACTCATCTCTTTCACTCCACACATGGAATCTATTGCCAAAATCTATCACTTCTTTTTTTTCAAAATGACTCCTATAATTATATCTTTCCTATCTACTATCTATTGTGGTTTACAACACACATACATCATCTCAGTGGAGCCTCACAACATTCCCAGGACACTATTTTACAAATTAGTAAAACTGGCTGTCAGTGATATTAGGAAACTGGCTCAATGTCACTCAAATAGTAAATGATATAATCACAATTTCTCATCCAGAAGATTACGATTAAGGCATCATCCAGCTCTAAAATGCTGTAGTTGGATAACTGCATACCCTCCTTTCCTTTCCTTTGTCTGCCACTGTCTTCGCCTAAAACTTGACCACTTCTCACCTAGGCAGGTACAATTTCTCTTTACCTGACAGCAATAGTCTCAGGGAGCATAGCTTTCTTCTCCATTTAGCACTCTCACCATGTCACACTCTTCTCTGAGAGCTCCCAGCTCTTAGGATCATAGCCAAAATGTTCAGCCTCTTTTTCCCAAGAGTCCCATTAAAAAGATTCTGAATTGTATGTGTCTTGTGCCACCCCACTCAGGTCTGACCACTCCTACTTAGTTTATTATTGGCTCATTTACAGTCTTCCCCTTCTCTGGTCCTACCCGGCCCCCACCCTGAGGTTTCATGAGCTATCTGATATGGAAACATATGCATTTCATTTCACGCCCACCCCCCTCAAGCTGCCTCCAGCTTCTTCTGCTTCTGCTTTATTTAAACATTTAAAGTCCCCCTCAAAAAAGCACCTTTTCTCAGCTTCTGACTTTATGTGACCTAGTCCTGTGTGAAATTGAAATGGCATGTTAATGTTATCTGCTGCAGAGAGTAAACTCCTGCAGGGCAGTGACAAAGCATAATTATCTGTACTTTGTAGAACACAGAAAATTAACACTCAATATGTGTTAAATAAAGGAAAGCAAACATTTTAATTTTTGTTGCTATTTGGTGCTTTTTAATGTCATGTTTTGAAATCATTTTGCTCAAAATGCAAACAGGAATAAATCTCAAGAGACTGTTAGAAAAATTATCCTAAACCTGGCCCCCTCTTAAGATGGAGGCCCTGGATATTTTACTTTGTTGGCTTGATGTTTAAGGGATATTTGTGGAAATTGTATATGTAATATAAATTACATGATGCAAGCCCCCCAACTTCTAACAGAAGAGTTATTTGCAGCAGTCTCCTTCCAAAACGTCTTGACTCTCAGATTTTGTAATGGTAGGGGAGTGAGAGAGAGATCACCTCCAATCTCTCCTTTAGCTCTTATCTAGGCTCTTTGTCTGAATCTAGAAACCAAATTAACACCAGGCAGATTAATAAGAGAAAAACATACAAAGTTTATTAGTTTTACATGTACATGGGCATCTTCACAAGAGAGTGAAGTCTGGAGTAGCCAAAGCAAGATGCTTTTATACTTCTTAGACAAAGAATGATAAATTTGAGAAGAAATGACAGGATAAATGGTATCTAACTAGAAGCGGTAAATTTCTAGGGTAGTCACAAGGAGATACACAGAAGGGTATAAAACTCCTGGAAGATAAGGGGTACTTTGGAAAGTATATTTATCCAGGTCCATTGTAGCCCCCCAGTTCCCAGTCTCTTATGATAAGGGCTATTTTCTTGCCCTGGTTCTGTGAGGGTACACCTCCCAGAGGAATCTTTATGGCTTGCTGTGTGGAAGAAAAGATAGGTCATCTACTTGTTTCTGTAACTACAATTTTTCCAAGGTTTTCAACTCAAAATAATCAATTTACCAATTATCATGCATTGAGATGGCATATCCTTCACTCCTTTAAAATTCTGATTCATTATACCCCATGTCAAATGCATCCTTCTTAAACAAGCGTATTCTGTCACTACACTTCTCAAAATTATTATGTTTCACCATATTCCTATTCATCAACACAAACCTCTGTCTCACTTTTAGGGTTTCCTGTAATCCAGCTTGTGAAATTTAGGCATCATTCTGGACTTCTGTCTTATTATTGCCACCCCTGCCTAGAAATTTAACGTCTAATCTATCACCAAGTCCTGTCCGTTCAACTGCCAAGTTCAAGAAACTAATGTATTTCTCATAGACTACAGCAAGCCTATATTATTTCCTGGTTTTTGCTTATAGAACACCACAGTGATTAGGAGCACAAACTGCCTCAGTTCAAAGCTTAGACTTTTCATTTATTAATTGTGTAAATCTGGACAAAATAATTAACCTCCTAGTGCCCTTCTATTTTTCTCTCTAAATTGAGAGGACAATAATGGTACCTACTTCATGGGACTGTTATAAGGATTAATGGGTCAGCACTTTCTGAGTACATAGAATATTATGTGATACATGGTAAGTGCTGTCATGTATGGTATGGTAGGTAGCTTGATGATGATGATGGTGGGGGTGGTGGTTATGAAAAACATTATCTCCTAATTTCCTACACATAAAAACAAAGGAAACTTTTAAAAACATAAATTATGTGTGGTCATATTTGGTCTCCAAAAATTCCCATTCATTTCACTTAAAACAAATTTTAAATTCTCTCCTCTGCTTCTCAATATCCTACATGATCTAGTTCCTGAATGCCTTTTTAGTTCACCTTGAACCATGTGTCCCCTTCTTACTTTACTCCAGGCTCTCAACTTCTGTTAGTTTGTAGAACCCATCAAATTCTTTGATACCTTGTCCCTACCCACTGCTTTCCTTATCTGGCTCTTTTTCTTTCTTTAGGTCTTGGTTCAAAGTCAACTCCTTGGAGGTGCTTTCCCCACCCTACCTAAAATGTCCTTCACCTCCAATGCTGACTGCTGCAGCATCTAGTTGTTGTTGATATTGTTACAATGACTTACCACAAACTTGCTTCCGTTGGTTCTTTGCTTACTGGGTTTTTGTTTTGTTTTGTTTGCTGAACCCAACTAGAATATAAGCTGCATGAGGAAAGGGATCACATCTATCTTGTCCACCATTGACTCACCAGCACTGGGGAGGCTGGTATGCATGTCATTGCTATTTGTGGAATGTTATTCTATCAACGGTTTTATTTTACTCACCTAAATATTTGTTCCTACTCCCAGATTCTTCTCCTCCACTGCGTTCAGGCCATTTACATCAATGTAAACTATCTCCATCTGTGATATTTCACTCAGCCCCCTTGATAAAATAGTCAACCCTTCTATCTTGGTCTACCAAAATTATGATGAAGATTCACCTCCTCCAAGACTTCAGTGAAAACGCTTGCCCTCACTAATCTTTCATGCCTTAGCATTTCTATCTCACTTAAAATTTCTCCCACAAACTGTTAATCCTTATATATAGAACAATATTCTAATTTCTTAATGCATATTACCATCATCTTCTCAACTAAACCCTAAGTACGTATTTTTGTGTTTTTATGTATTTATTCCTAGAGTGTACAATGTCAAAAGAGAAGCTTAATAAAAATTTAGAATTAGATAATTTTATATTGGAGGAAGCTAAGACCTGTATGTACATACTAAACTTCTGAATACCCCAGCAAGACTTTTATCTCAACACCTTAACATCTTTTTTAAAGTAAATTTATTGCTCTAGCAAAATATATATATTTTCTTTATATTATATATATATTCTTTATATTATATATATTCTTTATATTATATATATTATATATATATATATATTCTTTTGTGAATTTTGTAAGAATTTCGTTTTGCTTGGGTGGTGATGACACCTAAGCTTCCCAAAGTACTCCAGACTCTAAAAATTGCAGGAACAAAACATACTGGAGACCATATGGAAAAAGTTCTATAAGAATGCTGTCAGTTAGCGTCTGCTTCTATCAAAATTGATATCGAAACTGATATCCCGAAGCTTTTTAATTCTTCTCTAAGGCGACTGTGTAAAGGATTGCTTAATCATAGAATACCATTAGAAAGTGTTTTGCTCAGATTTGAATTGATGAATTATTTTTAAAAGTTCAATGCTAACTCATATTTGGTTCTCATTTAATTCAAGTTAGATAACTTCTTTTATCAAGGCCACAGTTTCAGTACCAACGCATACAATTCTGAATATCAGTGCTGTTGACTCATGTTTCTTTGTCAAATGTGAATTCAGAGCTCAAGGGTAAGAGTAACTTTTTTATAAACCTTCTTAATCCTTCAGAGCCAAAAGAAGACTTAATTTGTGACCAGGGCTCTTTCCCCAACTCTTCATATCATCATGAAGGGCTGCATAGATTTATCATCTCCTGTGTACCAATTTTGCTCAAGAGGTCCTCTTATCCTCATTCACATTCAAGAAAAAATAATGGGCAGCCAGCTCTGTGCCAGGCATTGGTCTGTACACTCAGGACATTGATGCAAACACAGGCAAGGTGCATGTTCTTCAGGAGGCTTCATTGCATAATTCTGGCAATCTTAGTTTATTTGTCTCTCATTGATAGAGGCATTCTGTGATATTGTAGAATACATATTTGGTCTTTGACCCCATTTTTCTGACATACAATTCCTAAAATTCTTAGAATCTCCAGTGATATTTTTATGTATGTTAATGTGTGTAAATGGTGGCCGGCAGCCTCTAGGTAGCTTCAGGATAGAGGCTTGTCCCTGAAAAAATCCAAGGTATAATTAGTGGGTTGGAACTTTTAGCCCCACCCCACAAAATCTAGGTTGAAGCGAGAGACTGAGGGTTAAATTGATCACCAATGGTCAGTGGTTTGATCAGTCATGCCTTTGTGATAAATCCTTCATAAAAACCCAAAGAAGACAGGGTTGGGAGAGCTTCTGGATAGCCAAACACATGAAGTTTCCTGAAGAGTAGCACCCCTGGGAAGAGCATGGAAGCTCTATGCCACTTCCTGTCCCTCACCCTATGCATCTGTCAACCTGAAATAATTAAAAGGATCAGAATCCAGCTTAGAAGAATTTATTCAAGTGCAAATCTGAGAATAGCCATTCAGGTAGCAAATACTCCAAAGGAATGGGGTCAGTGCTCCAAAGTTGCAAAGTTAAGATCTTGCTTATATAGGCAGAAAACAAAGAAATTTATCCAGATTACTATACTACATTTTTCATACAAGCGTGATTTATAGTTACAGCAATTTGATTAGTTACAGCTGTTTTCCTTTTCCAATTTAAAAGAGTATATTTAACATTCCATCTTAAACAATGTGAAAGTCATAAGGTCTTTTTGTAAGGGAAGAGGGAAGTTAATCTATAATAAGGATCAACACTGAAGAGAAAAAGGATATTGTCTGGGGTTTTTTAGTCTTTTACCACATTTTACAAAACAATGTAGGTAAAGAAAAGGCTAATCTATACTCAGGGGGACAAAAGTTACAGCTGCTGCTGGCCGCAGTGGCTCACATCTGTAATCCCAGCACTTTGGGAGGCCGAGGCAGGTGGATCACCTGAGGTCAGGAGTTCAAGACCAACCTGGCCAACATGGCAAAACCCCATCTCTTCTAAAAAAATACAAAAATTAGCCACCAGGCATGGTGTCGGGTGCCTGTAATCCCAGCTACTCAGGAGGCTCAGGTAGGGAGGCAGGTAGGTAGGAGGCTTGAACCTGGGAGGCAGAGGTTGCAGTAAGCAGAGATCATACCTCTGCACACCAGCCTGGGCAACAGAGCGAGACTCCATCTCAAAAAAAAAAGATACAGCTGTGTAGGTCATAGCTGCCTGTCATGTGACTGAGTTCCCCTGATCACATTCTTTTAAGACTCAAAATAATTTAAAGTTCCAACAGCTTTAATGTTGATTTACTTACTTTTACACATCTCTTCATTTGTATCTTTAGTAATATCCTTTATAGTAAACCAGTAAACAAAAGCATTTCCCTGAGTTCTGGGAGCTGCTCTAACAAATTAGTCACACCCGGTCATTGAAAATTGAGTTTATAGCCAGCTGGTTAGAAGCACAGGCAAAACAACCTGGACCTTCTAATTGGCATCTGAACTGAGGGGGCAGTCTTGGGGATGAATGCTTAACTTTGGGGATCACACACTATCTTCAGGTAGAAGTTTCAGAATTGAATTGAATTAGAGAATACCCACCTAGTATCTGCTACAGAATTGATTTCTTTCTTGTTGGTCAGAAAAAGCCTCATATATATGGTCACAGAAGTTTTCTCTGTTGATTGCTATGGTGTGAGAGCAGAGGAAAATTCATTTTTCCAGAGTTGTTATAATTTTTTGCAACTCAGACATACATAAAGATTTCAATTTATTTTTATCATCTTTTACCTCTCTCAGTGCTGAAGTAAAAAATAAAATATGTTTTCTGCTGTAATTTACTTATTTCTTTTTTTAATTTGTATTTCTTTTGCTAATTCTTGTCAAACATTTCCCACTATACTCAATAACATTGTGTTTATAAATCTAACATGCCAACAATTATAAAAACACACTATTATTTTATGTATGACTGAGTGACAAAATAATGCCAATTAAGTTATGTCATAATACTTTGTATCACTTGCAGTTTAACTTTATATTACTATAAAAGCTCATTTGAAATTATTTAAACATATATTTTTTCATACATCACTCACAAGCATGTATGTAAAAAGAAATAAGAACAAAATAAATTGGTTGAGTATTTCTAAAATTTTCTCATGTTCAGAATCCAAATTACTGATAAATCGGAGTAACTGAGATCCATAATTCTCTATATAAAATTATTCTCTGAGCTATCAAGAGCCTTAGTGAAATGGCATTTGTAAGAATTGTGCTTCACTATTGTCTCTTGGATTCTCTTACAAGCTGCAGAAAATTTATAAATACACACACACAGTTTCTATGTCTATGTATAGGCAATAAGAACTACGTCACAATATCTACCTAAATCACAGCAATTGTATGACACACTCTGATTTTTCACATGTTAAAATGTAAAAATAAATGTGCTCCTTAGAAATGATAAAATATATCGCATTATAAAGTGTAAGCCAACTTTTTAAAAATATGCATTATAGCTACACATTTTAAAAAGAAAAATGCAGACTGGGCATGGTGGCTCATGCCTGTAATCCCAGCACTTTGGGAGGCCAAGACGGGCAGATCACCTGAGGTCAGGAATTCAAGACCAGCCTGGCCAACATGGCAAATCCCCGTCTCTACTGAAAAATACAAATATTAGCTGGGCATGGTGGCCAGCACCTGTAATTCCAGCTACCTGGGAGGCTGAGGCAGGAGAATCACTGGAACCCAGGAGGCAGAGGTTGCAGTAAGCCGAGATGGTGCCACTGCACTCCAGCCTAGGTGACAGAGCAAGATGCGGTCTCAAAAAAAAAATAATAATAGTAATAATAATAATAATAATAAAATAAATAAATAAAAGAAAAACACTTCTGAGTCCACCTACAGGTATCCTCAAGGGAGATGTCAGTCTCATGCAGGTAAGTAAAACATATATGATGAACTCAAAAATTGTGTTAAAACCTGCCAACAAATGTGATCATTCTTATCAATTCCTGAGGTAGAAACAAGAAATGTGTTCCACTTCAAAAGTTACCAATGTCTACTGTTTGTTCAGTCTGAGGAAAGTGGCTCAAAAGTGAAACACAGTGATCCAAGACTGCGTACAGAATCAGCTTTGCAGCAAATCTTAATTTAACATTATAAAATCCTAGAGCTGTTAGAGAATTTGGAGAACGTCTAGTCCCAATATCTTCCTTTACCATGGAGGAAACCAAGGCCTGTGGTTCTCAAGTTTCCTGAATCTTTTGCCACTCCTCTTTCTGCCACTCTTGGCATGCCTTCTCTGGGAGTAATTCTAGCACTTAAGGAAAAAAAGTAGTACCTCATTCTCCCAGTGAGATACTATCTGGCATTGAAGGAAAACTTACTGCAATAAGGCTCTTCTGGGCTGGACATAGATTGAAAAGGACTGAAAATTTCCTCTAAAAATATCCTTAAAGCAGAATTTGAAATAATCTAGGTGTCTGTAAAAAAGACAGAGCTATCTAAAGAACAGAAATCAAAAACCTAGGACAGGGGTCAGAAAACTACTGTCCCTGGGCAAAATCCCACCTGCCACTTGTTTTCGAAAATAAAATCTTGTTGGAACATTGTAGCAGTCATTTCTGTGTTGTCTGTAGCTGTTTTTGTACTGTAACAGCAGAGGAGTAGTTACAATGGAGACCACATGGCCCACAAGGCCTAAAATATTTACTGTCTGGATCTTTACAGAAAAAAAATTCCAACTCCTAATGTAGAAGGTAGACTTGTAAGGACCAAGGCGGGAACAATAGGTTACAGCTTTCATTTTCAACTTAGACTTTATGGGTTGACAGCATAAAAAAGATTGTTCTTTTAAGCATGTGTGTAACTATAGCACTCATTATCTTATTTCATATTCATCATAACTCCTCATTTTGTAGGATAGAGCATGCACATATACACACACCCATTGCACACTTTTAGAAAAAAAGGGGGTGGCTTTTATTCTGATATCCATCATAGCTAACCTCATCACACTCCAATTAAATAGTACATTTATTTCTTTAGCTATAAAGAATTTTTTAATTAGCCTCTTATTTGCATACTTCCTAAAACCTTTGTCCAGTGTGATTGAATTCTGATTTCAAACTTTCAATCCTCTCACTCTTGGGTCATCTAAAACAGTAATCTGTCTTTCTGCAGTGGTTCTATCATAAAATTCTTGTCTGACAGACACTGATATTTTCCTGAATGCATCCTGCAATGAATAATTCCATAAGCACAAATAGTCTATGTAAGTTATATTAACAAAAACTATGCTAAATTAAAAATACTGCTTTTATTTTTATCCACAAAATTGATGAATACGTATAATCCCTTTTTAGAATATAATCCTATAGCTATCAGGAGCTGAGACTTTGAGAATAATTGTGTTCCTCACTTAGCACCAAAATATCCACTTATGCTAAGCAAATCAAGGGACTGCCTTGATGGTGAAATCTCAGCAGGACTCTGAAGTATCATCAACATAAATAAAATCAAGAATTTAGGGCACAAAAGAAGAATCACTGGATTTGTTTCTAAATTGACTTAAACAGTGATTCTAGATTTTTTGAATAAAGATTATTCTTCAGAAAATTCTATGGAACTTATAAAATTAGGATTTGAGGTGTGCTACAACCTCCAAACTGATGTGGTAACCTTCTATATAGAAAACATCTACCTAAATGAATGTCTCTTTAAGTGCAAAGTCTCCCATGGACTTAACATGCCACCTGCTATTATTTTACAGGCAATCCCTACAAGAACAAAAACACCCTAAAATTCAATTCATTAAACGAATCCCTCAACCATGTTTTAAAAAAAGTATTCTAAACTCTAACTGATTCTGTAAAAATTCCAACAGAGAGCTTTATATATGCTAATAAGATGTTGGCCAGCAAGTATCTCCAACAATTTTGCCTAGGTTAGTAAACCTAAAAGAGGCAGCCATCCCCACTGAGGTTCTCCTAAGCCTCCTAGAATGTCTTAAAATCTTGCAGTTGGTGAAAACAGCCCTTTAGATAGTCACACTTCCCAATACCTCATTTTTCTCTCCACTTGATTTATAACATTTTGGTTTCTTTGCTTTCAATCCAAAATAAAATAAACTTATTGAGGATTCAGGACTAAATATCAAAGATCTGGGAACACTGAGAAGAAACACAAGAAAAACAAATGCAAGACTGAGACATTAGGAAAAAACATTCAATAGGGGTGGAGAAAGAAAGAAAACATATTTACTTGAATAAAGAAATATAGATGCAAAAAATAAGAATCTGGATGGAGTGGGAGAGAAGAAAGCAAGGAAGAGAACAATGAGGGCAAATACGATGCCTATATGGAAACAGAACTCCTGGCTGTTAGGGCTTATAAACATTGGAATGATTTAACAATCTCCTTAGGGGAGTCATAAAATGTTTTGTTCCTGGAAATGTTTACACAAAACGTAGGTAACTTGATGCAGAGAAGTGATTTAGTTGACTTCCGTAGATGTCCTTCCAACTCTGATTTTATGATTTGGTAACTTAAGAATGACTAAGGTGATGCCAAAAAATAAAAATGAAAGACCCATTCTTATATTAGACATACACACAAGATTTATGGCCTCCCTCAGAACTGTGTTCCAGAATAACATGGAGTGAATTTCAAATGCATCGTTGTCTGCTGGTAATCATTTGCTTGAGTGCTAAGGAGTGATTCAGTACAATTCTGTGACAATATTCAATCTATACACGTAATTGCACTCCAGGCTCCCTTTATACTGTATGCCCAATTTTCTTATACACCAAATCAAATAGAGGTCTAGGCAGTTTTCCAATAGTCTTCTTCAAAATATGACAATTTCTACAGATTACTAGATTATTTTCATATTCCTAATGACAAGTCCAGCATAAGTAAATCAACTAAAGACTTTTTTTCAAATTTCACAAATTGTTGACTCCTGGCTAATGCAGTTTTACTCTACATTATGCAGTATGTTTTCCTGAGAAGAAGTTGCATGCATGTTTCTTTCAGTTTGATGTGTTGTAATGGATTGGATTTGAGGGAATGAGAGGATAGTTTATTCTGTATTTCCTCTAAATTGTCTGAATTTTCAACAGTATATGTATCAACTTTCCTTTGGGTCTATCATACATACAAAAACTGTTCATGTTAATTTACCATCATGCAATTGCAAATGAGGCTCTAATAGCAGTCAAGATTCACAGTTACAGAATTCTCCAGAATTTTATCCTTTATTGCTCTCTAATTTATAGGTCCATTTAATCAGGGGTAACATTGTATTTCGAAGCCCTGCATTGAATTCCAAATGGTGTTAAAAAGCTTTGCAGTATTGAAACTTTGCTGAAATTTCCACCAGGAATAAATTTATGCTATTTCCCAATATTATTTTAAGTGAGCATTTTTTTTACCCACTCTGAATGACACTGAACCACCCATTCATTATTTCTTTGGATAATCTCTGCTATTTTCTGTTCCCCTCCTCTTTTTACTCCAGTAATTACTTGCTTTCAGTTCTTTTTATATGCCAACCAATTTATCACATACATTCAGCATTTTCTCATAATTTTCACTCTAAACACTATCTCTGACATCTTGCCAACATCCTATTGGATCCCACTATTTCTGCTTTTATTTGAACACTAATTATTTTAGTCTTCGGCATTTTGGAAGGATTAATGCATAAATGGGAAAACTGATGGTCCTAAAATTTTAAGGTCATTAACCCAGCTAGTCATTAATTCTCAAAAAAGGTCCTTAAAGGAAGGAAGGTGATTATTGTTATTGCAGCATCTTTGGTTTTTCTTTCAAGCCTATTTTCCCTAGCACAACTGGCTTTCAGACATAATAGAGTATCATGAATTTAAAACAAATTTAGAAAATGTCAAAGAATAATTTTAAGACCTATTATTAATTATTAGCAGGCTATTTAGAAGTAAAACCACTAAATAGAATAAATCCATTCATCAAAGACAAAAATGGAGAGAAGTAAAAAAGACAGTTTGTGAACAGACAAACTAGATGATTTGTAAACAGTAAAGTTTGTTTCTTTTGCTTAGGTAAACAGTAGCCTGCAGAGCACCAAAGAGGATATTCACATACACACACACACACACAATTTCACCAATTTATGAATTCTCTGAAAACCAAGGTAAGTTCTGCAGTGAAACACAGGCAACCAGCTGTCTGTACCCTTTGTTATGCACTTCAGTCTTAGTCCATCTCTGTAGCATTTCTTTCATGAGAATTTTTCAACTCTCCCCAATTTGACCAAGCCACGTTGATCATCAGGCCTTCAGTTCTCCTTGACACATGTCCCCTTGACATAAGTGATGTCCCCTTGACATAAGTTGAATATTGCCTAGGGACAATGGCTTCATACTAGCATTAAAGAATATGAATATATATTGTGAAGTTGAACAAAAAGTTTAAGGGCCCACCTTTCTTTGAGTAACACAGCAACCACTCACAGGTGTCAGAAGACAAAATTACAACAAAGTTGGTTATAGATCTAACTGGCTTTTATTTGTGATTGAGAAATCAGAGAAGCCTCCATTCTATAAAATAGAATGAGAACTTTTTTCTAGGCAATAGCAAAGTAGTGGGTTTTGCAAGGTGGGAACAAGGAAACAGAATAGGAAAAAAGCCATTTGGTTAACCTCAAGTTACTTCAGCTTACTTTTTTGTAACAATTAAAGCATATACATCCTTATTTTGCTGATTCAAGTAGACTGCAACCTCCTGTTTTCAGGAAAACAGGTCTGTTTGGGGATCCATCTGCTTCCTTAAAGTTTCAGTTTGATATGTGATATTTAGCATGAGTGACTTCATTTTGGTTAGGTCTGGTCTGTTGGGGCCTAGTACAGGAGATCTGTCTAAAACAATGGTCTCCCATAATGTCTTTTTAATGTCTTCCTTCTTTTCTTGAAGCTCAGTTACATATTTTCAATTGCTGTATTATATCCACTGTTTTCACGTGTTTGTAGCAGGAAAGTTTCCTATGCATATCTCTTAGTTTATTATATTGCTGGATGTTGTCCTAAGTTATTTATATTTTTCAGAATGCTTCTGGGGAAGTTTAGAGACATTTATCTGTCACTTTCTCATTGCTATCTCTTATACCCATTATCCCTTGAACCAATGTTTCTTGTACCAATCAGTATCAATGATCACTATCTTAGGCCAGTCCTTTCATTTCTTATTAATATTTACTTAAAATAAAACCAACAGTTGTTCTGTTGAGATCCTTACTTTGACCTCATTCTCTTCCAAATCACTTACCCATTATTATGTCTTCCCTGATTAAAATTATCAACAGTGTCCCATCTATTATCAAAAAATTCTCTTCTTCTGCCTATTTACACCCCACCACACACACCCCTGCACTTGAGCCTCCCCAAATACAGTAGCTGTGGTTTCCTGAACACTGCAACCAATTTTCATGCCATTGTCTGTGTTATATCTAATGTCTACAGTGATCTTTCATCACCTCATTAACTTGGTGAATTCTTCTTTGGAGATGAAAGAAAAAAATAATTTCTGAGTAGTCAATATATACAAAGGAGACACGAATCATCCTGAGTATTCAAATACTTAAAAATGGTGTTTTTAAAAAAGCTTAAAGACAAAATTTACAGTCAATTGAAACTCACAGAATAGAGTTTCTTTCCCAATATATAAAGTGTTTTCTGAAACAAACACAGCAGCTGTAGATTTGGTTAAATTCCAGTTAGAATATAAGAAAGCAGTCTAAATTTTACAACAGAAAGAGAATATGTTTTAAAGCAATACAACATGTGTAGGTACATTTACAAAATTCCATAGTAACAAACGTTAAAAATGTATTTATTTATTCAATCTTTTTGTATTGCAAACATGAAGTGTCAACTGTTATGAATTAAAGAGAAAAGGAATATGCAATTATAAATTGTTTGAGGTAGAATAATATTAAAAACAAAGGAAATTTCATTAAACTAAACAAGAAAAAATAAGTGTTAAAAATAAACATCATCTCAAATTCTAGGGGGAGGGAGGGAAAACTGCTGAAAACATTAATTCTGGAGACATTGCCATATTGCTGACTAGAATTCAGATTTCACAAGAGGAAACAGATGCATTACAAAATAGGCATTCTTTTTCTTGATAAAGTTATGTCCATTAGTAGTTTATGAAAATACATATTGGCTATAGTTATATATTGATACAATATTTTACAAGTATGTAACAATGAAACCAGAAATTAGTATAATAGTGTAATCAAATACTTTTTTACCTGAAAACTGTAAGATAAGGTTTTAAAACTACATAACCTCCAAAGTATATTTAAATTGATGGCTTTTATGACATAAATTATACCACAAAAAGGCCGTTTTTAAAAAACAATATAGCCTCCAAATTATGGTAACCTGTAAAATAAATCTAAAATGACAATCCTAAATGTATAGGACTTGGTGAAATCTTAGGAATCATTTAGCAAAATTTCCAACAATACTATACAAATATTCCAGGAGCAAAAGTTTCCACAGATGTCTTTCAAAATATTCAGAATCCAAAAACTTTTAACTCCATTAATACCATAATTTAGTCCTTTTTAATTATTCACAGAAAGGTATTTTCATATCTAAATTAAATTAATTGAGTGAAGAATGTTGCCTTCAATAGAGAATTGACAATTGAATATTTTCTATTCCACTGTTTCCAAAAGTAAAATTTATAATAATATTTTAATGTTGCCATACACATCTGGGTAAATTAAAAATACATAATACTAAATGTAGATATAAATGCTCCATTTCAAACAACTTCTATCATTTTCTACATTAATAGTTTAAAAGACAAGTGAAAAGAATATTGAAACAAGCCGAGTGTATTCTCTAACAGCCAAAAGAACATAGAGTACTATAAAATTATTTGACTAATATAGGACCATAGAAATCATTTAATTCTATTCTTCACAAGCATTTGCACCCATATGCACTATGATTTAAAATGCATGAAACCCATATGTACTTTTATAACTAAATGGCTTAATCTAAAAAAAGTTCTCATACATAGGCAATGCCTTTGAAATCATGTTTATTCTTTAAAATAGATCTAATTTTTTCTTCTTCATTAAACACCAATTTTTGTTGAATATTAATATTTGAAATATATTAAATATAAAAATGAACATAACTATATGTAAAAGGACATTGATTATAGCATTGTCTGTAGTAGCAAAAGACTGAAAATAACCTAGATACCATTCAATAGAGGACAGGTTAAATAATGTATGGCCCTACCATGGAATATTATACAGCCATTTAAAAATTAAGGAGCAACATACATGGAATGATCACCAGGAGGTATTGTGTAAAAAAGGTAAGCTTTGCAACAGTCTGTATAGGGTGGTTCCCATCTGTATAAATAAAAATGTTATCCATGCAATTCACACAACAAACATGTTTTGAGTGCCTAGCAGGCAAGGAACTATTCTAAGTGCTTGGGATAGAGCAGTGAATGAAACAAAGTACTGTCATGGAATTCCTATTCTAGGTGAAGAAGACAGATAATAAAATATACATAATTACAACATGGAGTGAGAAGTAGTATTAAGGAAAAGAAAGCAAGTTATTTGAGTATGACAAAGAGAAACAAGGCAATACGGTTGCTCTTCCCCTTAGGAGTAGTCAGGGATAATGTGACATTGAGCAGTGGCCTAAAGATGGGTGGGAACAGATTGGAGGGAATAAGGAGATGTGTGAGATATTCCCATTTTTAACATTTTGAGTTTGGGGTCATGTCAATACTTTACATAATCAGAATAATTAAGTTAAGAGAATAAAAAACACTATAAAATTAAATATAAACACATACAAATGAATCTAATATGTTATCAAATTGATAACACAACCACACAAAGTAAAATTTAATTCAAGTAATTAAACATACTCTTTGGGGAAAACATTTGAAGGGTAGAATGGCAATAAAATCTTAAAGTTTACTCAGCTGTTTTGTTGTAGGTATTGCTATTAGTATTATAGTTCTGAAACTATTCTGTATATAGGATAAAGCAAGTGAGTTACCATATTGTTCTTTTTGGGAATCAGAGTTTTCTCTTTAAAAAAAAGGCAGATTACTAACATGAAATTGTAGAATATGAGGAAGATCCTATGCTGGAACGCAGGAGTACTGGATAAATACATTTTTATGGGATTTGAAGCCTATGCAATTTTGGAGGCTCTCTTAAAGGAACATTAGAAATATAAAATTAGGTATAAAACCTTGAACAGATCCCATTAGCATCATAATAAATCTTTTCTAACCTGGTGGAGTTGGATTTGACTTGAAAGCATAGATATGTTTTTTTTTTTTGCTCTATACACTGGAAAGGCCTAGAAATAATAATAGCTTTATAGCAATAAGCAGACCTAGTACCCAGACTTCGTGTTCTATATATATTCCCCAACAGAAATGAGGAATTCCTAAAGAAATGCCTGACTCCAGGTCTAAGCAGAAAAAGTGTAAGAATATTCTAAAACATCTTGTACCAGACTCAAGAATATTTTCAAAGACAAGTGGGATAACAACAAAATGACATAAGAGTCAGTTTAACAAGGACCCTAATGGCCAAATTTGTAACTTTTTGAAGCACCAAAAATAACTATGACAGTAATGGATAAAACATTTACTTTTTTAAAAATCTGAGTCTTTGATTATACTGAAAGAAACAGAAGGACAAAGAAAGGAGAAAAGCTATTATTAACTGAAATTCTTCTATAAACAACTGTAGGAATGACAGAAAGCATTTTGAAAATCCCAGTCTAATAATAGATCCATGGAAGAATGACTAATGAATGCTAAAATTATTAAGTAAAATGGTTTGGAGGAGCAGGAAATTCATACAGTGATAGAGTATCAGCTCAGAGATAATTTAGTTTCAAATTAGCAAATATGTTGGTCACCACCTTAACTAAGCAATAGATTTAGTATTATTTATCATTTAGTACAGCCTGAGATTAGGTGCTTCTGGTATGAAGTAGCAAAATATATATAATGCTATATATACCTATATATATTTTGAGATTATATATAGGTATATATATGTATAGCATTTATACTGCTATGAAGCATATTTGCCAAAAATGATTTGTTTTTTTTTTTTTTTTTTTGAGATGGAGCCTCAATCTGTCACTCAGGCTGGAGTCCAGTGGCACGATCTTGGCTTACTGCAACCTCCACTTCCTGGGTTCAAGCGATTCTCCTGACTCAGCCTCCCAAGTAGCTGGGACTACAGATGCGTGCCACCACGTCTGGCTAAATTTTTTTTTTTTTGCTTGTTTTGTTTTTTTTTTAGTAGAGACAGGGTTTCACCATGTTAGCCAGGATGGTCTCAATCTCCTGACCTCGTGATCCGCCCACGTTGGCCTCCCAAAGTGCTGGGATTATAGGTGTGAGCCACCACGCCTGGCCCTTGAAAAATGTTTAATCTAAACCTATTCATGAGGTAACAACCAGACAAATCCAAACTATGAAACTTTCTGTAAGGAAACTCCCCTAGGTTCTTAAAAAATGTCTGATGGGAGAAAAAAAGTCAAGGGGATTGATGAAAGATAAAACTAAAAAGACAATATAGACAAATGCCATCTGTGAACTTCAATTTAATCCTGGGCCTTTGTGTCTCCCCGACCTCCCCACACACACACAAATAAAAAGCATTTGGGGGAGCAATTGGGTTAATTTAAATATGGACTAGGTATTAAATATTTAATTCACACTAATTTTTATACTTGTAATCATGATATTACAGTTATATCGCAGTTAGATAAGAGAATGCCCTGATATTTAGGAGTTGCCTGAAGTAAGTGAAGTATCATGATATGTTCAATATCCAAATGATCTAGAAAAATGTACCTGTGTGTTTATGTAAGTGTATACATGCATATTGTTTGTAATTCTTTGAAGCATAAAAACTTGCTATGATAGTAATGGATAACACACTGAATATTTTTTAAAATCTGTGAGTCCATAATGATACTCAAAGAAAACTAAGACAGAGAGAGAGCAAGAAAGAGAGAGAGCACAGAAGCTGTGCATGTGCATAAAGCAAACATTCAAAATGTCAAGAATTTGAAAGTCTAGGAGAAGGTATTCAGGTGCTCTTTAGAATTTTTCAAAATTTAAAAAAAATGAGGAAAAGGTAAAAAATAATGAAGCTGAGTGTGGAAAGCAAGGAGCAGATACATGGTGAGAGACTCAGAGCTATTTCCTTCCTCTATCTCCTTCTCCCTTTTTCTCACCCCCACATTCCCCCAAAGAAAGGAAATTACATTGTGAGAGACACAGAGCTATCTCCTGCCTCTCTCTCTTTCTCCCTTTTCCTCACCCCTACATTCCCCCAAAGAAAGGAAATTACCTACTCTGACAAAAGCAAACAGAACTCCATCTACAGTTTACGATGGATAACGTGTTCTAAAATACTATTCCATTTTAAAATAAAAATTTTAAATTTTCTGATTTCCTGGGAAATGAAGTTGACATTTGATACCATTTCAAACAGAAATGTAAATATTGTAATAGCAGGATATTTTAAATGTCTGTTTGACAAACTGGAACACCATCCTAATTAAAAGCAGTCTCTATAGAAAGGCATGCTAAACACACAATAATTATAATTTTAACAAGACATTAACATTTTCTCCAAACTCCAAAGGTGATTTAGGTAATGTTACATAACATACGTGCCAGGAAATTGTCAAATTAAACTAAGCAGGGCTTGCCTCAGATAAAAAAAAAGCAACATGGGCAAGTTTATCCTTCATTCCAGGACTCTCTCCTCACTTTTAGACTATTCCCGCAGCTCAGATGGATTGCCATCTAAAGCAGATGGTCGTATTTATTTATTCAATTTGTTTCTCCTCACCAACAAAAGCTTATCTCTGCCATGTACCTGCTTTACTCAACCCTCTGCTCCCTGATTCCCACAGCATTGCACAGAAATTCACCTTCTCTATTCCTCTACTTCATGGTCCAAAGTATTTGCTAGCTAGCCTTGTAAATCATTCCTGCTTAGTATGCTAATTAGGGGAACTAGATGACCACTCCATGCATGTGTTAACTGCAGCCTTCTGAGGGCAATAGTACGGCTTTTTGTCTAATGCCTCAGTTACAGAAAAGTTATTCCTGAACTTCCTCTGTGAACCTACAGCTCCTGTGCACACCTTTGTAACACACATTACTTGATAGTGTAATTATTTCTTTAAATCTTTGGCTAGATGTAGTCCAATACCTCATACATTATAAATGCTTAGTAAAGGATTACTGAACTGAACTGTCAAATTGAAAACTGTTAAATTGGAACCATTTCAGCCAAAAACCAGAAATTGCATTTCAGAGGGAGTTCTTTCTTTCAGGAAAGACTAAACTAATAAGAGAAATAACAGGCAGTGAGGTCAAGGATCTGAAGCCTTTCCCAGCTCATGAAAAAAATCCCCTCTGTTGATAGCAGGTAGATTTAAAACAGCCTCTTAGGTGAAACAAGTGTACTCTCTGGGAGGAGCATGCTTTAACTGGAATTTGCCTAATGTCCAACCTTGTGACAGTCCCAGAAAGAATCACCGTCAAAGGAAGAGAACCTGTGCAATTTGCTGTTGATCCTTCACTTTTATCTAGTTACTTTTTGTTTTTAAATTCAGGCAATAAAAAAGCAACTTTGCGCCAAAAATTTTCAGCAAAAAAGTACAATATATATAAACATCAATCTCCTGCTGGAGCTTAAAACCTCAATCTATTTAATATTTAATATCTTGGTCCTACAAAAAGTAAAATGACTCTAGAAAATGAGGGAGAAAGAATAAATAGTCCTTGGGGGTAAACTATAGAGAAGAGGTTGACACCATAGCATGTTACAGTGGGGACTACATTTTAATAGTTTCAAACGTGTAAAGCAGTTTATATTATAGTTCTCTAGCACTTAAAAGAATCCAAAAGTGTCTTTATAGCAGCATGATTTATAGTCCTTTGGGTATATACCCAGTAATGGGATGGCTGGGTCAAATGGTATTTCCAGTTCTAGATCCCTGAGGAATCGCCACACTGACTTCCACAATGGTTGAACTAGTTTACAGTCCCACCAACAGCGTAAAAGTGTTCCTATTTCTCCACATCCTCTCCAGCACCTGTTGTGTCCAACAATGAGAGACTGGATTAAGAAAATGTGGCACATATACACCATGGAATACTATGCAGCCATAAAAAATGATGAGTTCATGTCCTTTGTAGGGACATGGATGAAATTGGAAATCATCATTCTCAGTAAACTATCGCAAGAACAAAAAACCAAACACCGCATATTCTCACTCATAGGTGGGAATTGAACAATGAGATCACATGGACACAGGAAGGGGAATATCACACTCTGGGGACTGTTGTGGGCGGGGGAGGGGGGAGGGATAGCATCGGGAGATATACCTAATGCTAGATGACGAGTTAGTGGGTGCAGCCCACCAGCATGGCACATGTATACATATGTAACTAACCTGCACAATGTGCACATGTACCCTAAAACTTAAAGTATAATAATAATAAAAAAAAGAATCTAAAAGTGAAAGAGCACCAGGCTGCAGGCAGAAAACCTGACTTCCAGACCCAACATCAGCATACACTGTGCCCCTGAGCAAAGAACTTAATGGCACCTCTGGGTTTTTACCTAAAAACCAAGAGTATTGAACTTGATGTGATGTTAAGTTTCTTTCAAGGCATATTACTCAGTAATTCCACATTTGATTTGTTCTTTATGGGAAATGAAACTAATAGGGGGTACAATTGACCATAAACTGCATTAGTATGTATCATTTTATAGGGGTTCCTGTATTGCCCTGATCAGATAAGACCGAAGTCTTTATTCTCACAGCTGGTGTTCTGAATGGCTCACAGCTGAGTCCCTCTCAATGAATTACCTGCAGAAATCTGACTGGCAACTTATTTCCAAGAAACAGCCTCCATCTGCTGATCACTTTAGAGATACAGAGGCTGGGCCCTCTTGCCTCAATTTTGAACAATGCTGAAAGACCATCCTAGTTGCAAAGTATCCTAAGGATTCCACTGAAGTTTGCTGCAACTGTAATAGAGGTCAACTCCTCCCTCAGCCCAATTCTGCTTCCCTGCCTCCATTCTAACTGTTGCATCCAAAAGTGTTGCCCAATATCCTCCCATCTCCAACTCAGGTAATTTCCCGGGGAATCCAACTTCAGATAGCTGGTACTACATATGGTCCCAGGCAGCAAATTATAGAATGGAATTTTGGAGAGCTGATAATAAGCATCCCTTTGCTGGTGATAACTGTAAGACTGATCATTCCTGGCATGCGATAGTGGTGAAATTAATAAAACTTTTACCTGTGGTAAATTGAGAGAAGACTTCAGTGTGTCAGAAAACACTAGGAGGTTCAGTATCTTAGATATTTGAAAGGCTTAGGGGAAAAAGTAGTTATAAGAACTATAGAATCAGATAGCTGTTGCTGGCTACCACTGATGCATTGCAGGAATTTAATGGCACTGAGGGGTATTAATCTCAAATTTAAGGCAAAGTATAAAAGACCAAGGGCCTCCTTGGAGGCATATAAAGAGATTCTCATCTACTACAGCCAGATAGCAGAAGTAGCTTAAGATCAGACTCCACTCTAAATGTATAAGAAAACCAGAGGTCCAGAGAAAAGAAGTTGAATTCTCTACCCCAGCTGTTATGCCACCAAAGTGAGACCCCAAGACTCAGAATGGGGACATGTGGGTTGAGATACTCAAGAGTCTTGAACCCTCAGATCCTACTCAACGCTGTAGCTCTGCACAAGTGGTTCACTCTCCTCCCATAAAGCTTGGTATTCTGCCCTTACTTGAAGATGCTGCAAGGCCTTGAAAAAGAACACATGCCCTTCTCAGATTCTACCCCACCTCCATTTCTGGCCACAAGACTAATAAATAGGGTCAAATTACAGCATAACCCAGCCAAGGATGCACTGGGCTTGCTAAGAGAAGAGAAACACAGGAGGAGCTGCAGGGCCCAGGGACCAAGATTCAGCAAGAACCAGAGGAGCGTGTGCAGGACAAGATCCCTAGGGCACTAGATCAGGAGTATAGCACATAAACTTGGGTAAGGGAGCTTTTATCAATAAGGGGGCACTGTCCAGTGACACAGGAATTAATAATTTGGCAAGAACCCTGGAAGATGGGTGCTAACACACTGCTAGCATGGCTTTTGGAAGCCCGGAAAAAGAAATTATCTACACTAAGAAAACCAGAAATGTCAGAAAAGCTGAGACAGTAGAAAGGCACGGCTGAACGTAGTGGCTCACGCCACTGTGGGAGGCCGAGGCAGGTGGATCACCTGAGGTCAGGGGTTCCAGACCAGCCTGACCAATATGAACCTGACTTTACTAAAAATACAAAAGTTAGCCAGGCGTTGTGGCATGCTCCTATAGTCCTAGCTATTCGGGAGTCTGAGGCAGGAGAATTGCTTGAACCTGGTAGGCAGAGGTTGCAGTGAGCTGAGACCACGCCACTGCACTCCAACCTGGGCGACAGAGCAAGACTCCATCTCAATACAAAAGGAAAGGAAACAGCAAGATGGTCAAAAAAGTTAAAGTGCTAGGGCCAACATTGTAAGATAAGGCAAAATTTAAAACAAACAAACAAACAAAAACCACTACTCTACTGTTTTTCAGAGATGGGCTTATGAGACAACTCTGTGTTTACTGAAGCAATGAGGAATGTGTTTGTGAAAGAAGTGCCAGAAACAGTGAGAAATGTATTGGTGGCTGTTTTTTCTAAGACATAGATAATTGTTGGAGATGCTGTACAGTTTGGTCTAGCAGTAGAGATTTTGCAATCCTGAAATAATAAAGGTTAGAATGCAATACTTTAGAAGCAAGGGGGATGCAACACAATGAGTGGCAAAATGGAGTTGTGGATTTTAATTTATTGGGAACTGGCTATTCTTGCATTTAAAAATAATCCTAATCTCTATTCTGAGAAACAATTATGTTACTTTGAAATAGTTTGATCTTTGTAAGGATTTTTTTCTAAGCTTTGTTAGGAGAAACCAAAGCAGTCTTCATCTAGAGCAAATTTTGCCTTACTAATGAGGCAACAAATACCCTTCTGAGCACCCTACCCCACCCCCATCTGTCTGGTGAGAATATCAACAACATCTTTCCCTGTGTGTGCTCAGGAAATTGTTCTGATTGCTCTTTTTGGGTGATTCTTTTCCCAACCTTGAGTAGTCAGCCAACTCTGGGAACTCTGTCAGATGTCTAGATCGATCTCTCTCTCTCTGTCTTTCTCTCTCTCTCTCCCCTCTTCTCTCTCTCTCTCTCTGTCTCTCTCTTTCTCTCTTGGTAGCTCTCTCTCTATCTCTCTGTAGCTCTCTCCTTTCAGTACTTTTCCATGAGAACCCTAGCCATGTTGGCCCTCCTGAAATCTCAAATCTAACTCTCCTCAGCTTAAAATATTTACAACTAGGAGCAGAAGATTACATTCACAAAATGTAGTAAGATGGTCAAATTGACCAAGATTATTCTCAACAGCAAGTGTGGTGGCTCACACTTGTAATCACAGAGCTTTGGGAGCCAAGGCAGCAGGATTGCTTAAGCCCAGGAGTTCAAGACCAGCCTCAGCAACATCCCAAGACCCTATCTCTACCAAAATTTGTTTAAAATATGCTGAGGCAGGAGGATGTCTTAAGCCCAGGAATTTATGGCTATAGTGAGCTATGGTCACAGTACTACACTCAGTCCATGTGACAGAGCAAGACCATGTCATTATAACAAACAACAACAAAAAAAAGGGTATGCATCAATTCAAGCACATACGTGTGAATTTTCTCAGATAATTACTGGTTGGTGTGTTCTCCTTTCCCAGAAATCCAAGACATATCTGAAATATGCACACTTCCCAGGAAATTTTATTAAGATGTTTAATTAGCAGAAAATAATATATAATACATAAGCAAAATATCATATGTATATCAACCACTGATATTGCTTAAGATATTTTAATCTGCAAAACCCAATACACTCACATCCCAATAAAGTGCCAACATCTGAACTCTCAGAATTCTTCCTGTGGACTTTTTATTATTATGTTTTTGCAGTAAACAAAGGTGGAATTTCTGACCAGCAACTGCCCCATTTTCAGAGAACCTGTTGCTCACTCACAATAGTAGATGCCTACAGTCATGTTGGAATCACACACCCTTGTACCCACAAGGTGTAGACATATAAGTCCAGATGGACCCAGAAGATTCTCTCCTAACAGAAATTTAGAATGGGACTTGGAGACACTCATCAATTTCTTTGGTACCTGAACTGAAATGACCTATATATCTATCTGTAGTGATCACATGGAACAGCAGAGAAAGCTGATCTGCAGAGAAAGGAGGGTAAAACAGAGATGCAGAGAGATAAAAAATGATTTGAGAGAAAGTAAATGATGTATTAATAGCTTTCCAATTTTTGGTAATCTTCCTGTGTAAGACACATCTACGTTTCCTGACATTGAGTTCCAATAAGAAACCATTTGTATATTCCCCTTTTAATCTAAACTATAATAACAGAAAAATTGACCTACCATGGCCTGTGGGATATAATCAAAACATATTTTTTTTGCCTCCTATTATGCTTCTAAAATGTATTCAGTAAAGGAAAATTTTGTCTCTTGCCCTCAGATAAAATTCTTTCTCTAGTAAGCCCTGTAAGCTTTCTGTTCTCATTTAAAGTCTAAAATAACCTCCAGTCACCAAAATCTAAAGGCCATCTTGTATCTAATTAAAATTGTCCAGCCCAAGATAATAGTCCAAATGCAAATTTCCTCTCTCAGGCTACTACTGAAGGTTTGTTGCTCACAAATGCAAAGGGGGAGAAACAAAAGGGCTTCGTCAACTTTCTTTCTCTTCTTAGCATGTCTCCCCCTCTGCTAACTGCAGCTTCTGACCTCCCCAGGGTTGAATCCAGGAAAGGAGCAGGGCTTAGGGTCAAGGGCAGTCTCACATGGTTGATACAGGTTTCATCTTCAATGGGCCCCTCTAAGTGACAGATGTTCAGATGCTTCATCAGAAACTTTGTGAACTTTCCAGAGAAATCCCTTCCACCTCATGCTAAGTCCCTCTGGCTACAATTTCTATAATATGATAAACCATGCCTCATAAAACTCCTCCTTGGAATACTCAAGTTCTCCAAGGGGTTCTCTTGGACAGAATTATAAATGGCCCTGCCAGGTCTGTTTTCTCTGTGAGGCCCACCCTTGGTGCACAGAAGCATGTTTTTTTTCACAACTGTCCCTAAGTATGAGGGTACATCTAGAACAGTCCTGTGATTTTTCTCTGCCCCACTGCCACCTGCTGATAGCAACAGCCTCTCACCTAGTCCAGCAGATACATCTCATGTTTTCTGAGTTGTCCTATCGAGGTAGCACCACCCTTATCTTCTCTTTCTCAAGGAGAAGCAGGAATCAGGACAACAGTTTAAAAATTCTTTTCTTTTTTCTTCTCTTAAGCCTTTTATACAATTGATATGGGTCATGGTCCCTGAGTGTGGTCCAAGTGTCTAAAAACTAATTTTACTTTTTTAAAAATTTCAATATAGCACCTTTTATGTGTAGCATCTATTGCATCTCGGTGCAATTGTCAAAAGTTAAATTTTGTCATGTAACATTAGCATCAGTTTGTTTCTGTTACTCTCCTACTCCTGCCAAAAAACCACTAATGAAGCATTCTGCCAGTATTCATAGTAAATAGCTACATCATAAGTTTCATGAACCTGAAAGTAATTCTCACTACTGAATGACTGTGAAGGTTTATGGAATGTAACGATTTGCTGAATCGAGAATTTGAATCACATTAGCTAACAAATGAGAGAACAAATTATTCTATATCCTTATCCACATGTGATCTTGATTTTTCTTTACCCATAGGTGGAATAGAAAGTAATTCTTGTGAGATAGTCAGAGGTCACTTCCAAGATAGCCAAATAGGAACAGCTCTGGTGTACAGCTCCCAGCAAGATCAATGGAGAAGACTGGTGATTTCTGCATTTCCAGCTGAGGTAACTGGTTCATCTCATTGGGACTGGTTGGACAGTGGGTGCAGCCCACGGAGGGAGAGCCAAAGAAGGGCAGGGCATTGCCTCACCTGGGAAGTGCAAGAGGTCACGGGATTTCCCTTTCCTAGCCAAGGGAAGCCGTGAGTGACTGTACCTGGAGAAACTGTACACTCTGCCCAAATACTGAGCTTTTCCCACAGTCCTAGCAACTGGCAGACCAGGAGAACCCCTCTCGTGCCTGGCTAAGCAGGTCCCATGCCCATGGAGCCTTGCTTGCTGCTAAAGCAGCAGTCTGAGATCGACCTGGGATGCTGGAGTGTGGTGGGGGGAGGGGCATACACCATTGCTCAGGCTTGAGTAGGCAGTTCTATACTCACAGCATAAACAGAGGGGCAGGGAAGCTCAAACTGGGTGGGGCCCACCACAGCTCAGCAAGGCCTACTGCCTGTCTAGTTTCCACCTCTTGGGGCAGGGCATATCTGAACAAAAGGCAGCAGACAGCTTCTCCAGACTTAAACGTCCCCACCTGACAGCTCTGAAGAGAGCAGTGGTTCTCCCAGCATGGCATTCAAGCTCTGATAACGGATAGACTGCCTCCTCAAAGTGGGTCCCTGACCCCCATGCAGCCTGACTGGGAGACACCTCCCAGTAGGGGCCAATAGACACCTCATACAGGCAGGTGCCCCTCTGGGACTGAGCTTCCAGATGAAGGATCAGGCAGCAATATTTGCTGTTCTGCAGCCTCCACTGGTGATACTCAGGCAAACAGGGTCTGGAGTGGACCTCCAGCAAACTCCAACAGACCTGCAGCTGAAAGGCCTGTTAGAAAGAAAACTAACAAACAGAAAGGAATAGCATCAACATCAACAAAAAGGACATCCACACAAAAACACCATCCATAGGTCACCAACATCAAAGACCAAAGGTAGATAAAACCATAAAGACGGGGAGAAACCAGAGCAGAAAGGCTGAAAATGCCAAAAACCAGAATGCCTCTTCTCCTCCAAAGGAATACAACTCTTCACCAGCAAGGGAACAAAACTGGATGGTGAATGAGTTTGACAAGTTGACAGAAGTAGGCTACAGAAGGTCGGTAATAACAAACTTCTCTGAGCTAAAGGAGCATGTTCTAATCCACAGCGAGGAAGCTAAAAACCTTGATAAAAGTTTAGATGAATGGCTAACTAGAATAACCAGCGTAGAGAAGAGCTTAAATGACCTGATGAAGCTGAAAAACACAGTACAAGAACTTTGTGAAGCACATACAAGCTTCAATAGCCAATTCGATCAAGCAGAAGAAAGGATATCAGTGATTGAAGATCAAATTAATGAAATAAAGTGAGAAGACAAGATTATAGAAAAAAAGAGTGAAAAGAAACAAACAAAGCCTCCAATGTGAAAAGACCAAATCTATGTTTGATTGGTGTACCTGAAAGTGATGGGGAGAATGGAACCAAGTTAGTAAACACTGTTCAGGATATTATACAGGAGAACTTCTCCAACTTAGCAAGGCAGGCCAAAATTCGACTTCAGAAAATACAGAGACCACCACAAAGATACTCCTCAAGGAGAGCAACCCCAAGACATATAATTGTCAGATTCGCCAAGGTTGAAATGAAGGAAAAAATGTTAAGGGCAGCCAGAGAGAAAGGTTGGGTTACCCACAAAGCGATGCCCAACAGACTGACGGCAGATGTCTCAGGAGAAACCCGAAATCCAGAAGAGAGGGGGGCCAATATTCAACATTCTTAAAGAAAACAATTTTCAACCCAGAATATCATATCCTGCCAAACTAGCTTCATAAGGGAAGGAGTAATAAAATCCTTTACAGACAAGAAAATGCGGAGAGATTTTGTCACCACCAGGCCTGCCATACAAGGGCTCCTGAAGGACGTACTAAACATGGAAAGGAACAACTGGTACTAGCCACTGCAAAAACATGCCAAATTGTAAAGACTATCAATGCTATGAAGAAACTGCATCAATTAACAGGTGAAATAACCAGCTAGCATCATAATAACAAGATCAAATTCACACATAACAATATTAACCTTAAATGTAAATGGGCTAAATGCCACAATTAAAAGACACAGACTGGTAAAATGGATAAAGAGTCAAGACCCATCAGTGTGCTATATTCAGGAGACCCATCTCACATGCAAAGACAGACATACGCTCAAAATAAAGGGATGGAGGAAGATTTACCAAGCAAATGGAAAGCAAAAAAAAAAAAAAGCAGGGGTAGCAATCCTGGTCTCTGGTAAAACAGACTTTAAACCAACAAAGATCAAAAGAGACAAAGAAGGCCATTACATAATGGTAAAGGGACCAATTCGACAAGAAGAGCTAACTATCCTAAATATATATGCATCCAATACAGGAGCACCCAGATTCATACAGCAAGTCCTTAGAGACCTACAAAGAGACTTAGACTCCCACACAGTAATAATGGGAGACTTTAACACCCCACTCTCAATTTTAGACAGATCAACAAGACAGAAGGTTAACAAGGATATCCAGGACTTGAACTCAGCTCTGGACCAAGTAGACCTAATAGACATCTACAGAACTCTCCACCCCAAATCAACAGAATATATATTCTTCTCAGCACCACATTGCACTTATTCTAAAATTGACCACGTAATTGGAAATAAAACACTCCTCAGCAAATACAAAAGAACAGGAATCACAGCAAACTGTCTCTCAGACCACAGTGCAATTAAATTAGAACTCAGGATTAAGAAACTCACTCAAAACCATATAACTACGTAGAAACTGAACAACAGGCTCCTAAATGACTACTGAGTGAATAATAAAATGAAGGCAGAAATAAAGATGTTCTTTGAAACCAATGAGAACAAAGACACAACATATCAGAATCTCTGTGACTCATTTAAAGCAGTGTGCAGACGGAAATTATAACACTAAATGCACACAAGAGAAAGCAGGAGAGATCTAAAATCAACACCCTAACATCACAATTAAAAGAACTAGAGAAACAAGAGCAAACAAATTCAAAAGCTAGCAGAAGACAAGAAATAACTAAGATCAGAGCAAAACTGAAGGAAATAGAGACACAAAAAACCCTTCTAAAAATCAATGAATCCAGGAGCTGGTTTTTGAAAAGATCCACAAAATTGATAGACTGCTAGCAAGACTAATAAAGAAGGAAAGAGAGAAGAATCAAATTAATGCAATAAAAAATGATAAAGGGGATATCACCACTGATCCCACAGAAATACAAACTACCATCAGAAAATACTATAAGCAAGTAAACTAGAAAATCTAGAAGAAATGGATACAACCTGGACACATACACCCTCCTAAGACTAAACCAGGAAGAAGTTGAATCTCTGAATAGTCCAATAATAAGTTCTGAAATTGAGGCAATAATTAATAGCCTACCAATCAAAAAAAGTCCAGGACCAGACAGATTCACAGCCGAATTCTACCAGAGATACAAAGAGGAGCTGGAACCATTCCTTCTGAAACTATTTCGATCAATAGAAAAAGAGGGAATCCTGCCTAACTCATTTTATGAGGCCGGCATCCTCCTGATGCCAAAGCCTGGCAGAGACATTTAAAAAAAGAGAATTTTAGTCCAATATCCCTGATGAACATCTATGTGAAAATCCTCAATAAAATACTGGCAAACCGAATCCAGCAGCACATCAAAAAGCTTATCCACCACGATCAAGTCGGCTTCATCCCTGGGATGCAAGCCTGGTGCAACATATGCAAATCAATAAATGTAATCCATCATATAAGGAGATCCAATGACAAAAACCACATGATTATCTCAATAGATGCAGAAAAGGCCTTCAACAAAATTCAACAGCACTTCATGCTAAAAACTCTCAATAAACTAGGTATCAATGCAATGTATCATGTATCTCAAAATAATAAGAGCTATTTATGACAAACATACAGCCAATATCATACTGAATGGGCAAAAACAGGAAGCATTCCCTTTGAAAACTGGCACAAGACAAGGATGCCCTCTTTCACCACTCCTATTCAACATAGGATTGGAAGTTCTGGCTAGGGCAATCAGGCAAGAGAAAGCAATACAGGATATTCAAATAGGAAGAAAGGTAGTCAAATTGTCTCTGTTTGCTGATGACATGATTGTATATTTAGAAAACCCCATCGTCTCAGACCCAAATCTCCTTTAGCTGATAAGCAACTTCAGCAAAGTTGCAGGATACAAAATCAGTGTGCAAAAATCACAAGCATTCCTATACACTAATAACAGACAAACAGAGAGCCAAATCGTGAGTGAACTCCCATTCACGACTGCTACTAAGAGAATAAAACACCTAGAAATACAACTTGCAAGGGATGTGAAGGACCTCTTCAAGGAGAACTACAAACTACTACTCTAGGAAATAAGAGAGGACACAAACAAATGGAAAAACATTCCATGCTCATGGTGTTGTGGGCAGTCAGGGAGCCCAAACAGAGGGACTGGCTGAAGCCACAGCAGAAGAACATAAATTGTAAAGATTTCATGGACATTTATTAGTTCCCCAAATTAATACTTTTATAATTTCCTATGCCTGTCTTTAATCCCTTAATCCTGTCATCTTCATAAGCTGAGGATGTATGTTGCCTCAAGACCCTGTGATGATTGCGTTATCTGTACAAATTGTTTGTAAAACATGTGTGTTTGAACAATATGAAATCTGGGCATCCTAAAAAAGGAGCAGGATAACAGTGATTTTCAGGGAACAAGGGAGATAACCACAAGGTCTGACTGCCTGCAGGGCCAGGCAGAACAGAGTCATATTTCTTTTCTTACAGAAAGCAAATAGAAGAAATATCACTGAATTCTTTTCTCAGCAAGGAATAGCCCTGGGAAAGGAATGCATTCCCAGGGGGAGGTATCTAAAATGGCCGCTCTGGGAGTGTCTGTCTTATGCAGTTAAAGATAAGGGATGAAATACGCCCTGGTCTCCTGCAGCGCCCTCAGGCTTTCTAGGATTAGGAAATTCCAGCCTGGCGAATTCTAGTCAGACCGGTTGTCTGCTCTCGAACCCTGTTTCCTGTTAAGATGTTTATCAATGACAATGTGTGCCCAGCAGGACATGGACCTTCATCTGTAATTCTAATTTCACCTTCGCCTTGTGATCTTGCTCTGCCCCCTTGCGTTGAGATCTTTTATTGCCCTATGAAGCATGTGATCTCTGTGACCCACTCCCTATTCTTACACCCCTCACCTTTTGAAATCCCTAATAAAACTTGCTGGTTTTGTGGCTCAGGTGGGCATCATGGAAGCTGCCGACATGTGATGTCACCCCCAGAGACCCAGCTGTAAAATTTCTCTCTTTGTACTCTTTCTCTTTATTTCTCAGACCAGCCAACACTTAGGGAAAATAGAAAAGAACCTACGTTGAAATATTGGGGGCTGGTCCCGCCACTACATGGATATGAAGAATCAATATCGTGAAAATGGCCTTACTGCCCAAAGTAATTTATAGATTCAATGCTATCCCCATCAAGCTACCACTCAGTTTCTTCACAGAATTAGAAAAAACTACTTTAAACTTTATATGGAACCAAAAAAGAACCTGCATAGCCAAGATAATACTGGGCAAGAAGAACAAAGTTGGAGGCATCACACTACCTGATTTCAGACTATACTACAAGGCTACAGTAACCAAAACAGCATGGTACTGGTACCAAAACAGGTATATAGACCAAGGGAACAGAACAGAGGCCTCAGAAATAACACCACACATCTACCAACATCTGATCTTTGACAAACCTGACACACACAAGCAATGGGGAAAAGATTCCCTATTTAATAAATGGTGTTGGGAAAACTGGTTAGCCATATGCAGAAAACTGAAACTGGACCCCTTCCTTACACTTTATACAAAAATCAACTCAAGATGGATCAAAGACTTAAACTTAAGACCTAGGACCATAAAAATTCTAGAAGAAAACCTGGGAAATACCATTCAGGACATAGGCCTGGGCAAAAGCTTCATGTCTAAAACACCAAAAGCAATGGCAACAAAAGCCAAAATTGACAAATGGGATCTAATTGAACTAAAGCACTTTTGCACAGTAAAAGAAACTATCATCAGAGTGAAGAGGCAACCTACAGAATGGGGGAAAGTTTTTGCAATCTCTCCATCTGACAAAGGGCTAATATCAAGAATCTACAAAGAACTTAAACAAATTTACAAGAATAAAGCAAACAACCCCATCAAAAAATAAGCAAAGGATATGAACAGACACTTCTCAAAAGACAGTTATGCAGCCAACAGACATATGAAAAAATGCTCATCATCACTGGGCATTAGAGAAATGCAAATCAAAACCACAATGAGATACCATCTCACGCCAGTTAGAATGGCGATCATTAAAAAGTCAGGAAACAACAGATGTGGGAGAGGTTGTGGAGAAATAGGAACACTTTTACACTGTTGGTGGGAGTGTAAATTAGTTCAACCATTGCGGAAGACAGTGTGGCGATTCCTCAAGGATCTAGAACTAGAAATATCATTTGACCTAGCAATCCCATTACTGGACAAATACCCAAAGGATTATAAATCATTCTACGATAAAGACACATGCACACGTATGTTTACTGCGGCACTATTCACAACAGCAGCGACTTGCAACCAACCCAAACGTCCATCAGTGATAGACTGGATTAAGAAAATGTGTCACATATACACCATGGAATACTATGCAGCCATAAAGAAGGATGAGTTCACATCCTTTGCAGGGACATGGATGAAGCTGGAAACCATCATTCTCAGCAAACTATCACAAGATCGGAAAACCAAATACTGCATGTTCTCACTCATTCGTGGGAGTTGAACAATGAGAACACATGGACACAGGGAGCGGGACATCACACACCGGGGCCTGCAGGGGGTAGGGGGCTAGGGAAGGGATAACATTAGGAGAAATATCTAATGTAGGTGACGGGTTGGTGAGTGCAGCAAACCACCATGGCACATGTATACCTGTGTAACAAAACTGCACATTCTGCATGTGTAACCCAGAACTTAAAGTATAATTTTTAAAAATGAGAAAAGAAAGTAACTCTTGTGAAATGGTTTAAGGAAATATCATTCTTATTTAAAAAATAAAAGTTAAAAAATGTGAAGTATCAAAGGCTGCAGTCCAGGAAATGACTATGGCTTAGATCTGATTTTTAGAACCACCAGACACTTGATTCATTGAATAAATATTAACTGTGCACCCATCATGTGCAAGGTATTGTAATGGGTGCTAAGTCTAAATATAGAACAAAATAGGCATGATTCTTGCTCCTTTGAAGCTTACTATCTATATTTGTTTCAGCTGAAAACAAACAAATGAAAACGATTCATAAAATTATTCTGCCAGTGCCCTACTTACTCATCAAGAACGAAAATTTTGATGAAAGGTAAAATCTGCCTAATTTATGATGTGAAAATATACACAGGTCACATGTGCCTTTAGTAAAAAATGTGAATCTTTAGAAAGCCAGGTGCCTATACAAATTCTTTTCACGAGGCAAACATAGGCAAACTAACCGTTAACACAGGTAATGAGAAAGAAAAAAGAAATACTTGTGTTGCATATAATATGAAGTTGACTGGAAAAGTAGAATGTAATAATCACATTTCTGCAGAATTGTTTTTTTTCAATCTGAGAAAACTAATTGAAGATGATGGGTGTGGCCCAGAACCAGTGCCCCATATCTGTTGGAGGGAAATGTCTTCTCAAACACTCACATGTGTCCCATGTGCTCCAGAGCAACTGCCCTGTCACTCATCAGCCCTGCTTTCATCTTGTATATTTAAGGAGGTTAAAGGTTAATATTATAAAAATGAAGAAATCTAAGACACTGTAAGGTGTGTTTTGCTAGCAGAAATCTAATATTAAACTTCAAAAACTACTTGAACATTCCCTTTTTTTTATTAGAGAGATATATATGGCATGATTATATTTACAAATGTGGAGATTATGAAGAGTTATCTCCAAGAGTGTCAAGAAACCTCTAACTCCTCCTAGTAATTGTCCACTTGCATTACCCATAAGTCTTGGCTTCCACCCTCTCTGGTACGTAAGAGCAGTCAGAGCAATCCTCTGTCATGAATATTTACAAATCTGCTTAAAAAGCTTTACCAAAAATGATTGCTGGTGACCTGCCTTGATATTCCTGGGTCCTTTTTGCATACTTTGTCAGGGCCTACCAGGATTAAATTCTGGTGGTATTTAGTTGGTGATTCTGTTCCAGATTTTGGAAACCAGAACAGTCTCTTGAGGAACAACTTCCTATTAGTGCTAATTTATACTCTAGTGCAGAACACTCTTGAGACTGAACAAGGGAATCATTGCTAAGTATGCCAAAAGAAGAGTTATAAACCAGCAAGCAGCAGCTTATAGTCACCCTAGCTGAGTTTTCAATCAAGGTCACTGAATGCAGAGTCTAGGATATTTACTTCTCTTAAATTGCAGAGCAGAAACACAAATCCAAAGGAAGGGGAGGATGGTGATACAACATGAGGAGACACGTACAATGTGTAGAGCTCGTGGCTGAGCCCTGTGCATTCTCACCTGTTTAAACTACTAGAGCCAACTGAAGAAGGAAAAAGACCTGATCTGACAACTTACTTCCCACACACTGTTCACCTCCCTCGGATGCAGATATGTAGCATACAGGCTTTCATAGTTCATGGTGAGGATGACATTGACCCATGAAACATGCAATCCCATAATTAAAACAATCATGCCATGTTAAAGCAATAACATTATACAAGAGTGATTTTTGCAAACTCACTTATCTAGAAGTTGTGACTTTTGGGGGTGCTTGGGAGAATTTAGACTAGTATAATTTACCAATTATCTATTTTAAATAAAATTTATTTTCTACCTTATTTCCTACACTACAGAGCCTTTTGTGTCACCAGGACTCTATCATTAAGGTTATTTATGTAACCCAGGGTTATATCTCTGTCTGATATACCCAACAGGGTCTCAGATCATCTCCCATACCCAGGTGCTATAGATAAGTGTGAATTTCTCCCTAAAAGCCTACCAGAAATTCTCAGGTTATGCCAAGACTATTGGTGTTTATTCCTGGCACAGAGTCACAACAGTATTTGAGCAAATTACCTTTGAGAATTATCTTTGTTACTGATTCACCGCCAGTATGAAAAATCATGAAATTGAAATATATATTCTTTCTATCCTTTCTTTCGTTTCTTTATTTCTTTATTTATTCCAACCATTATTTGTGCCTACTATGTACTAGGCATTGTGTAAAGGACACAATGATAAAATACACTGTGGCTTCTGCCCTGATAAAACTTTCCATTTAGTGAAGGAGATAGACCACAAACAAGTAAACAAACATAAGGTGCAAAGCTATAGTCTGAGCCACTAGAAAATAAAATGGGGACATGTTTAGATAAAATGGTCAAAGGAGGCCCTTAGAGAAGGTAAAATTTAAGTCCTGCAGGGAAAGTCTCTACTTGCTCCATTTTTCGCTATCCTTAGATTCTCTCTCTTTTTTATTTCTTCAAATTTCTAACTTAAGTGTCATAACCTTATGCATTTTCTTCTTTCTCATTCATATTTATTTGATTTCCTTATTAATTTACTCCAATCTCTTTGCCCCATCTGACCATGGTCACTGTGTATTGAGCCTCTCCGGATGAAATTCATAAGGAAATCAACCATTTTTCTCTGGTATGTGGAAATTTAAGTCAAAACTCTTCAATCATTATTTACCTCATGTTCATAACTGTCACATTATACTGGAAAACGCTGTTTAAGATGTGAAACAAGCATATTCTGTAACCATTTATTTTGAATTTCTTGTCTAACCAGGATCTTTCTTTTTTATAGAAATTGAATTAGCCTGTAAGGCTGCTTATCCCATAAACATAACTTGGTTTTCTTTTCTTCTTCCCTTCTGATTCAAAATTGTTATGGGAGATGTCTGAACACTGACAAAGCACCTGCAACATCACATCTCAGCATTAGAAGTAGAAGTTATTATAACCAGTTTATATAGACAAGTCAACAAATTTGTTAAACTGTATGCTGTGGAGGATATTGGCATAGCCTTTTCCATTCAAGTCTACAGTCCAGCAGGCACATGAAACATGTGCCTTCATTACTATGTAATCCAAATGTATCCAGCCCTCACTAGTGTAGTGATAATAAATAGAGTTCATATTAACAGAAATAACTCTAATTTTCCTAACTTTTACCTGATTGCTGAAGCATAGCCTTCCACCTCACCCTGAATCCACACAAATATTTCTGCAATGGTGTCTCCCAGGTGCTCTATTCTGTTCCTCCCAGGTGATACTGGTATTATTTAGCTTCTGACAAGCACTGTGATCTCACACAGCGAACATGGTTCTTTTCATTTTTATTTATAACCCATTCCTCCAGCACCCTGCTTTGCTATGGCACCTAGCTGATTTTACCTGACTCCTTCTTTCCTCGGCATGAGTGTTCTCCAAAGAGGAACCTCAGGGTGCATGCAAACAGTGCATGCTGTCCCATCGTCTAATCGGTGGGCTACACTTGGCTGAATGCAGCATAGGTGGTCACTGTTTATTCTGACCACACACCCCGAGGCCTTTTACAGCTGTCGCCAGGAGTTAAACGCGGCCAGCACAGTGGGATGCTCAGCTTCCCCAGAGCTGCCAGTCTAATCAAAAGTGTTAAGGTGGCGCCTCCACATGTGGTGTAAGCTCCATTCCTCAACAAAATGAATTGAGATCATGCTCCTGTTGGCCTTCTCCCTCCTATATCCGAGGTCAAGAGGAAGACTGTATAATGAGACAGAGACCACATCTCAAGATTATGTCAAATCCTCTTGACCATCCAACAGGGAATCCCAAAATTCAATCACTCCCTATCTCCCAAATTCACACTCTTGTCACAATTGTTTTATTCCAACAATGCAAATCGGATCCCCTAATTCTTTCCTCAATACCCTTCTTAACTTCTAAAACTCTTTCACTATGCCCTGTGAAATTCATCATCCATCATTATCAAAATTCCCTATCTGAAAATTTCTGAATGTTTGCCTCAGTTCTTGGCTCTAATAAACATCTGATTATCCTCTCAAAATACTTTTTCCCTTCCCAGTCTTGCAAGCATTAGATTTTCCTTTCTTCCCACGGTCATTATAGTATTGGACTTGGAGATGATTCTTGTTCTCATGGCTACTCTACCCCATTTTCCCTATGACCTCCATGTTAGTAAATCCAGCGCTCATTGCTACTCTTCATCAAATATCATCTCTCTGCCACACTTGATGGAGTGAATAACTTCTCTTTCTTAATGTACTTACATCATTTGCATCCAAGACACCATTCTCTCTTGGTTTTCCCCCAACATCACTGATCATTTTTCTCCATTTCCTGTAAGAATTCTTTTTCTTCTCACTGATCTCTTAATGTAGAAGAGCCCTAAGGTCTCTTCTCTATAAACACTCATATTCTTGGTGATTTTACTTAGTTTCATGGCTGTAAATTATGTGTGCGTGTGCATACACATAAACATATGTATGTATGTATGTATGTATGTATTTGTATGTATGTATATATATCTCAGATCTCCCTCTTGAATTCCAGGCTAGTATATTCAGCAATCCTCTTAACATCTTCACTTGGTTGTCTAAAGCTACCATGTCCAAAACTGTACGGCCAATTTTACCCTCCAAACTTGCTCTATCCCCTATTTTTCCTTTTTCTGATAAAGGCAATTCCATACTTAGAGTTGCTCAGGTCATAATCTTTAGCATGATCTTTAATTTCTTCCTTTCCTTTACACCGCACATTCAAAATACCAGCAAATCCATTGGCTCTGCCCTCACAACATAACCAGAAACTGACTATATCTGACTTCATCCACTGCTACCACTCTAGTTCCATTCAACATCTGTCCTAGCATGGATTTCTGTTTTCCTCTTTGCTCCCTTACTGTCTATTCTCAACCCAACAGCCAGGATACTTCTTATAAAAAGTAAGTGAGATAATAACTATCATCTCTCTGCTCAAAACTATCCAATAGCTCTCCATTTCATTCAAAGCAAAAGCCAAAGTTCCTGATGACCTACAAGGCCTGATATAACCCCTGCTAACTCTCTGGCTTCATCTCCTAGTTTTATCCCCCTTTTTATAAGCAAAGTGTACTCAAGACTAGGGTTTTGCACAGTTTGTCCTCCATCTCTAAAAGGTCATTCCCCAGATCTGCACATGGCTATTCCCCTCACCTTATTCATGATTTTGTTCAAATTATCTCCTCAGTGAGGCATACCCCATCCATTCTATTCCAAATTCAACCTGTAACCTGAATATCACCCCAGAACTTGATTCCCTTTGCCCTGCTCTCATGTGTCCTCTTTTCCATAACATTTATCATCTTCTAACTTACTATATCATTAACTTATTTATCATAAGTATTACTCATTGTCTGTCTTCCCTACCCAGAAGGGCAGGGATTTTTGTATTATTCGCTGATAGTCTTCTTTCCAAAACAGTGCCTGACATATATTATATGCACAATAAATATCAGTTCAATTGGGTTTAATCTGGGATCCATAAAAAGTATAGTAAAATGTGACATCTGTTCTTTTTTTTTAAGAAAAGGGCCGGGGGGAGCAGAGGGTAAGTAGAATATTCAGGGACATAGATGAAGGAGATTTTATTTCTGCCTAGAAGCACTGAGTAAAGCACTATGAAAAGGTAGAATATCAATGGAGTTTAACAAGGTGGTAAGAATTTTTTGTTAAGTGATGATGAATGGAGAAGGATATTCCAGCATAAGAAAAAAAAAATTGGCAAACAAAGCACAGTCAAAATCACAGAATTTATGTAAGAGGTGAAAAGCATTTCAGGGGAAAAGAAGGTGGGGGCCAAGGCTTGGAAAACTACCTATCAGATATTATGTTCACTACTTGTGTAAGGGAATCATTAGAAGTTCAAACCTCAGCGTCACACAATATACCCACGTGACAAAACTGCACATGTACTCCCTGAATCTAAAATAAGATAAAATAAAACTCCAAAGCTTTTCAAAGTTATACTATCATGATAATTTATTTTAATGAAAGACAGAAAAAGGGAAAAGTAGTTTGGTTTGACTAGAATGTAAACTTTAGGAGTAGAAAAATTGAGATAAAAACTCTGGAAAATGGAGTAGGATTTATAGTCAATGTGCTTTAATGTTAGAGTCAAAGTTTAGACAACATTCTGCATGCAGTATGGAATTAATAAAGGATTTTAAACACAGAAAGGATAAAATCGGACTGGAGAGATTCACTACAGTAGGGAGAAAAGGGAAAAAAGGAGACTATTCTAAAAAGCTGTTGCAATTTTTCAGGTGAGAGATTGTGAGGTACTTAACTAGGCAATGCTGTAGGATGTTTTTTTAATAAGGATATAAGCTTGATATAGTCATAGAAAGTGAGATAGCAAGTCTTGATGATTGAATAAAATTATGAGAAAGGAGAGAAATAGAGATGACAAGATTTGTATTCTGAATGGCTTTAAGTAGAATAAAGAACACAAGATGGGGAAGATGTATTAAGGATTTTTATTTGGAAGTGTATTTGAGAAAACATGCTGGAAAAATATGTTTGTGGCCCAGGAGAGATGTTTAAGCTGAAACTATATATTTGTGATTTTTATGATTAATGAGCATAACTGTAGAGTATCTGCCCACTGGGTTCGGAATATATAGAGAGGAGCAAGCAATGATGGAAAGAAATATCTTGAAAATATTCAGAGAGGTGGAGGAAATGATGTCATCATGCACTTAAGGAAGAAGAGGAAGAAAATGAGAATAGAAGAGTAGTCAGGGATGAAACTTTGAAGTTTGGTAAGTCAAAGCCAAATGACAACAAGCTCTGTATAGTGAATGAATTGATCAAGGTCATTAGAGTAGAAGATGTAAAAGATTAGTGAGGTCATAGTGATCATGAGTCATTAACATGTGTGCAGAAAGAACAACAGCAGGGGTTTGGGTTAAGAGAAAGACCTATACATATGCACAATGCATTAAGGCTGTATAAATGCAGAAGGCACCGAGAAAAGTAATAGAAAAATTGGTTTATTTCTGTGTAATTAGTTAAGCAGATGAAACAAAAGTATTAAATAGCTTTTAATTTTTAGATTAATGATTCGACAAATATAGTTAATGATGCTCAGAAAGGGCTGCAGGGCCCTATAATAAGTCAAATATATGAGAAAAGAAATAAATGAGCTACCTGTAGAATCATAAAGAGAAATTATCATCCATTGGCCTTGAGTGATACATTCAAAAGTCAAAATTTTGTTTCATATGATTTAGTCTCTTATTATGTGGTGTTTCATTTTTATGAAACATTTAGAATTTCTTAGTGGAATAGCAATCACTGATATGAATATTACTTGCCATGAAAAAAAAATGATGAACTTGATAGTGATTAACGGCTTCCATTACACTCAGAATTTAGGTTGAATTGCTGGCTCTGGTGATGATAGCACAAAACTCTGCAAAAGAGGAACCAACATTTTAACACATTTTAGAAGTCCCAGATTTGGACTACATGAGTTTTTTACTTGTACTTCACTATACAGTATAAGTCTGTATATCTCTCTTAAATTACTAGGTTCATAAATATATCTATCTTAAATATATATGTCTATATTTTAAATAATTATGATCTTTTTAAGTAAAGAATAAAATAAAGGAAATCATTCATATTTATTGTCAATAAAAGCCATTGGTCAGGTTTTTCATCTTTTGGTTTCTTTTATATCATTAATCCATTTTCTATTTAATGCCTTGGGATTTAACCACATGATTCACTATACTTTGAATGATAATTTTATAGCTGAAGCTTGGAACCATCTCTCCAAAAGCCTATCTCAACACTAAATATTAAGATATCACATTAAAAAGGTAAGAGACACAGGCAGCAGCAAAGATAATTAATGTTACAAGGAAAGAACTACAAAGAAAAATAAATGATCAAAGGATAATTCCGGGTTGTCAAGAATTTTTTTAATATTTCAAAGAACAGAAAAACCCCAGTCCTTTGCACCCATTTCCTTCTTCCCTTATTCTGCTGATCCAATCTGCCTCTAGCATGCAAGGCAATGCTTAGACCTCAAATGAATGTATGGGGATTTTCTTGACAACTTTTGTTGTGATTATTGTGCTTTGCTTTCAGAACAGAGGAAATGGGAGTTGCTAGTTGTCAAGTACATTTATGTAACAAATGTTTGTTTGCAAATATCTTGCCTTAGGGAAAGAAGAGATGGGAGTTTTCAGTTGTCAAGTTGATTTTAGCATTGAATATATTGTTTTAAGAAAACAAGCATAAGCTTGTATTTGTCAACAATTGCTGACAATAAAAATGTGTTTATTTCAAGTGTGACTGTATTTTATCTTGCTAAGGAGTCAGAAGTTAATGAGCTGATAAAAAATAAATTTCCCACTTCTGGTGACTGAAGTAGAAAAAAGATAGTCCAAGAAGATCAAAACCTGTGAGAGGAGAGGAACTGCACCAAAGGGCCCATCCTGCTGGTCTGGAGCTTGCTGGAGATCCAACACAACTCTCCCATATTTGAATGAATGTTAGGACCATGACCCACTACGACAGGTCCAGTCCAGTGAAATTGCTCACTATCAGAGCTATTCCCATGACTCCTAGATGAAGACCATTGGCCTCTGCTTGAAACAGATTCATTACTACAGGAAAAGTAGCAAACTGGATGTTCCCATTTTGAATTCTGGATATTAACATCCATAATCCAATAAGAAAGAGTCTTATTCAAATACTGAGAAAAGTGAGTGCTTCAGTTTGCCTAAACAGTTTTCTTTAGGGAGGTTGAAAGAGGAAGCTGCCATGATTAGAATATTTGGAGCACCCTCTAAACTCCTTATTAGGACTACGACTTAATTTTTGGTAGCACATCTTAGGGAGGTCTGCAGTATTTTAGTTCCCTGAGTCTAACTAATGATAAGTAACCACAAAGAGTCCTGTATGCCCCAGGGAGCTTCTATTAGTACATGAAGCTCTGTAAGCAATGGGGACTGACTTCAAAGGACGCAATAACTATTCCTATAGATGGTTAAGCTTGTCTGGATACTCCCTTGGATCAGCTCCTGACTCCCATTTATGGGTCAACTTTACATTCTGAGAGTGAAATCCTCCATTGTCACAATTTATTCATGAACTTTAACCAAGTGAAGCAGTAACTCGAACAACAAATTTATTCTGGTAACAAAAAATTCTATTAATCCATTCCCTCTACTTTTACTAAAGTTAGAAATCATACTCAGATGAGAATATTTGTCTAATCACAAAAATGAAAATGAAATATTTCTAAATCCACAGGATTAAAGAGCTCTTCTCAGTGTTTCATGTTTTGATATTATTTCATTACACAGCAGTGTTATTAATCTTTCTGGCTTCTTCACCAAACTTGAATGATCAGGCATCCTGTCTGTTGCTTTCCTTATAATGTGTTCTTCAACAGTGAGTCAAAGATAGATGTCAAGCTTGAAGTAAAGGTTCATTTACCTCCATGTATTTTTCAGAGAAAGCCTCTGATGATTATGTAAGATGCCATTATAATTAATTATCAAATGGATGAGTGAATTTTAAAATGAGGCTATAATTCATTGACCAGAATCCTGTTCACCATTCTTCAATTAGGGTGGGCCTTTTCCATGTTGGATTAACATTCTTCTTTCTCCTTAATTGATCTCTTGTCATCCTTGAACAAAAAGTCATTTGTTAGTGCAGGAAGCAGTCAAAGTTAAACAAGGAGCCTACTGATGTTGAAGGGCTCTGTGTCATAGAAAACGTCATGGGCAAGGTGCTTGCAATAGATGAAAATGAAAAACACACACCACACCACACACATACACACACACACACACAAAACTCCATGCTGGGAATTACGTTAATCAGTGTTGATATTCAAAATATGTAACAACTGTAGAGGCAGCATGGGCACCAACCATCAGAATGAATGCAATGTCTAATCAGAATGAGCATTGCATAACCTGCTGGTAGAGCTATACTGATACATCTGATTGCATTAGCCTTGAAGAATATAATTGCTCCATTCACTACTAATTTACTTTACAATGACAAGGTCATTGATAACTTTTAAGCAGAAAATTCTATAACTCTGTAATTTTCATTGACATTTTTAGTGTAAACTGGAGTAACAACCTCAAATGCTACAGGACAAGGCAGGAATTAAAAGCCAGGAAGTGCACAAGAGAGCTGGAAGTGGTAAAGCCTGCAAAACCGGAGACTGCATTCCTCAACCAAAGATGTTCAATTTAAAATATTTTTAAAACTGCTGGCCAGGAAATACAACATAACTCACATTCTATCTTAGGTTCAAACTAATGAGCATGCCAAAGTCCAAACAACATCTTCAAATTCTGTAATGTTCTCCAATTTAACCTAATACTTGGGAAATATGTTGTATTCTCATGATGGACTATGTTATTATGTCACAAAAGTTAAATAACTTATAATAAAATTTAAATAAAAATCAAAGAAAAAATTTCCTAACGTTTCTTTTAAACTGCGAATGGTCAGGAACTGTGCCTTATATCATTCTCATACTAGCACAGTGCTTCTTATTCTATATGTTATCCAATGCATGTGCATTGGATATAGAATGAAGAATGGTTTATTGTTTGTTTGTTTGCTTGTTTGCTCTTTAACTATTTTAACAAAAGAGGGTTTTAATTTTTTCCTGAGTGAATGATGATAAAGTAGAAACAGAAAACTATTTCATGAATGCCATTATAAATCCTCAAGGGTAACAGAAAAGTAGAGCATTATTACTAAGTTACAGGTCAAATTACCCAATATGAACTTAAAGAGGTGAGGTGGAGAAAAAACAGATCTGACCACATATACCACAAATTATTTACCATTTAAGAAAATGGCCAACTCCATGTAAGCAAAAACCCTCCAAAAGCATCTTGAAACCCACAAAGCTATCCAGAATTGACACACCCCATTATACAGAATTGACAAGTCCCATTCATTCCGTGGGATTTTATGAGCACCATAGCAAATCTGTGAACACAATATGGACCTAATGCAGAAATTTCCTGAGCATGCCTCAATCCTAAAGGGTCTTCCAGGAAATACTTTCAATTATGGAATGAAGGTAAAGAAACCCATAGCTTGAGAGGGATCATTGGAACAGAATATTGTGCACAGTTCTTCGTGGGCTTGATAATTCTCCAGCACACATTATAAAACTGAAAAATCTGAAGAATTCTTCATTTAATCCCAATGTCTTGCTTTATCTTAAACCTCAAATCTATAATTTTGTGGCTGAAAATCAAATCAAAAATTTAAGGAACGTAGGTAAGGTGAATAGATGGAAAAAAGAGAGAGAATTAGGTTAACGCAATACAATGACATTCATGTTTGATCATTGTTATTGTCCAGTGACGACTACATCCCAAGGTCTTGGACGAAGAATAAAAATAAATTGCAGACACTAATGAAAGGTTTCTTCAAGGCAACAGAAATTAAAGACATTGATCTCATACCAAAAAAATTCACAAAACACTTTTAGAAGTTTGACTGTACAAAAGTAGAAACTACACCATCTACTACTTCTAATTCACATTTAAAAAATGTATTTTGAGATAACGCTGGTCTATCACACTAACCGATAACAGTTCATTTCTTGCCGCTATGGCAGCCAAAATGTGTAGTAGATGATTAAAGACCAGCATCTCCCTATTTTGACATATGATGAAGTCTAAAAATATTTCTTATACAAGAACGTGTAATAGCTACATTAATCAGCTCTTCAAATCATTTAATTCTGAAGATGATACTACAGTTTTTTATCCTTCCCTTGTCTATTAATTTCTTAAAAAGAAAAATGTCATATAATGAGTAAAGTTCATGTTTAAGTTTCTACTCTTAAATAGCTACCAATTTTCAAATGCCTTGATATAACAGAAACTGTTAATTGCATCAATAAAATCTGTATCAAAGATAAAGTTTTAGCCTGAGAAATTCAGTATAAACCAGAGAATAAATATGTTTATTCCCAAAATATTAACAAAATATATTTAGAAGTTCTATCATGTCTCGAATAGATGCGTATACCTATCTTCAAAAAAATAATCATTCTGAGTCATTTTACTCATGTCAATAAAATCTATATTTAAAAAATAAAATCACATATATTCTTAATTCTATTATAAGACGTCAAGAATATTATTCTGTCTCTGCCATTTCAACTAAATAATAATATAGTAATTCTGGTATAACCAGTAATTTTACACACAACCCTAATTTAGTCTCTTTAACTTATATGACTTGAGTAAACAAAAGGTTTTTGCAATCTAGAAAAGTTCATATATTGAGAGCAATTTTTACATGAAGGCTACTAACTAAAGAGAATAAAATTTTTCCATTGGTCTTTAGATTCACCATCCTCACCAAAAAACCCAAACCCTAATATATAGAAATAGCAATACTTTGAAAAGTATTCACAGAAAAGTATTCAAGTGAGAAAATAATTACAATAAATGGGAAAATATCCCATGCTCTTTTGAAGATTTAATTAACTCCAAATTAATATGTTAATTTTATAAAATTCCAGTAAAGGTTTTAAATGAGTATTTTAGAAACTTTTTTGTTATATATATGTAAGTTATACAACATGATGTTTTGCTACATATGCACATAGTGAAATTATTACCACAGTCAAGCAAATAAACATATCTATCACTTTATATAGTTACCTTACTTGTGGGGGGTAGGTAGGTAAGAAGTCCTAAAATCTACCATTTTAGCAAATTTTTAGTATATAATATTATTAACTACAGTTCCCATGCTGTACATGAGATCTCTAGGCTTATTCATCTTATATAACTTCACCTACATCTCCCCATTTCTTCCCCCTCCATGCCCCTGGTAATCACTGTCATACTCTTTGTTTCTACATACAGTATTTGACTTTTTTTCCCTAAAATTTCACTAAAATCATGCAGTATTTGCCTTCTTCTGTGTAGCTTATTCCACCTAGCATAATATCCTCCATGTCCATCCATGTGCCACAAATTGCACTATCTCCCTTTTTAACTCTGAATATTGTTCCATCGTACATATATACCACAATTTCTTTATGCATTCATTCATCTATGAACACAGGTTCTTTTCATATCTTGGCTGTTGTAATAATGCTACAGTAAACATGGGAACTCAGCTATCTCTACAAGGTGCTAATTTCATTTCCTTAGGGTATATAGCCAGCAGAGGTATTGCTGGGTCTTATGGCAGTGTTATTTTTAGTTGTTCAAGGAACCTTCACACTGTTTGTCATAATGGCTATACCAGTTTACATTCCCACCCACCAAAAGTGTACAAGAGTACCCTTTACTGCACACCCTCACCAAAACTTTTTATCTCTTGTCTTTTTGATAGTAGCTATTCTAACAGGTGTGAGGCAGTATCTCACTACGGTTTTATTTAATTTGCATTTCCCTGATGATTAGTGATGTTGAGCACCTTTTCATATACCTATTTGTCATTTCTATGTCTTCTTTGGAAAAATGTCTACTGAAGTCTTTTGACCATTTTTTAATTGAGTTATTTGGATTTTCTTTTTTTAAGATGGAGTCTCGCTCTTGTCACCCAGACTGGAGTGCAGTGGCGCAATCTCGGCTCACTGCAACCTCCACCTCCCAGGTTCAAGTGATTCTCCTGCCTCAGCCTCCTGAGTAGCTGGGATTACAGGCACCCACCACCATGCCTGGCTAATTTTTGTACTTTTAGTAGAGATGGGGTTTCGCCATGTTGGCCAGGCTGGTCTCAAACTCCTGTCAAGTGATCCTCCCACCTTGGCCTCCCAAAGCGCTGGGATTACAGGCATGAGCCACTGGGCCTGGCCTATTTGTTTTTGTTGTTGTTGTTGTTGTTGTTGTTGTTGTTGTTGTTAAATTGCTTGAGTTTCTTATGTATTTTGTATATTAACTGATATGGGTTGGCTGTGTTCCCAACCAAAACTCATCTTGAATTGTAGCTCCCATAATTCCCACATGTGGTGAAAGGGACCCAGTAGGAGATAACTGAATCATGGGAGCAGTTTCCCCAATACATTTCTTGTGATAGCGAATGAGACTCACAAGATCTGACGTTTTTATAAGGGGTTTCTGCTTTTGCTTGGTTCTCATTCTGTTTTGCCTGCTGCCATGTAAGATACGCCTTTTGCCTTCCGCCATGATAGTGAGGCCTCCCCAGCCATGTGGAACCATGAGTCCATTAAACCTCTTTTTCTTTATAAATTACCAAGTCTCGGGTATGTCTTTATTAGCAGCATGAACAGACTAACACATTAACCCCTTATTGGATACATCGTTTCCAAATATTTTCTCCCTTTCTATAGATTGTCTTTTCACTCTAGATTATTTCATTTTCTATGCAGAGGCTTTATAGTACAATACAATTCCACTAGTTTACTTTTGGTTTTTGCTGCCTGTACATTTCGGGTCATATCCAAAAAAATCATTGCCCAGACAAATGTCATGGGGCTTTTCTTTTCTGTTTTCTTCTAGAAGTTTTACGTTTCATGTCTTACATTTAAGTCTTTCATCCATTTTGAATTAATATTTTTGTGTATCATGTTAGATGAGGGTTCAATTTCGTTCTTCTGCATGTGGGTATACAGTTTTCTCAGTATCATTTATGAAAAAGACTATCTTTTCACCATTGTGTGTTTTGGGCACCCTATTTGAAGAACAGTTAGTTGTAGAAAAATGGATTTTTTTCTCGGCTCCTTATTCTGTTCCATTAGTTTAAATGTTTATTTTTATGACAGTATCATACTCTTTTGAGTACTATACATTTGTAATATATTTTGAAATCAGGAAGTATAATGCCTCTAACTGTTCTTGTTCAAGATTGATTTGGCTACCCAGGGTCTTTTATTGTCTCATATAAATTTTAAGATTTAGTTAATTTCTGTAAAAAAAATACTATTGGGACTTTGATAGGAATCACATTAAATCTGTGCACTACTTTGGGGAGTATGGACATTTTAACAATATTAATTTTTCCAATCTGTGAACACAGGATATCTTTCCATTTATTTCTCTTCTTCAATTATTCTTGTCAATCTTTTATAATTTTATTGTACAGATCTTTCACTTTCCTGGTTAAATTGATTTCTACTTATTATTTTCAATGCTATTGTAACTAGGCTTATCTTCTTTATTTCTTTTTTGGATAGATTGCTATTGATGTAAAGAAATGCAACTGATTTTTCTGTGTTAATTTTGTATTCTTCTACTTTACTAAATTTATTTATTATAGCTAACAGTATTTTTGTGAAATCTTTAGAGCTTTTGCATGTAGAATCCTGTCGTCTTCTAATAGAGATAATTTTACTTCTTCATTCTTGATTTGGATGCCTTTTTTTCTTTTTCTTGTCTAATTGCTCTTGCTAGTAATTCCAGGGATGTTGAATAAGTGATGAGATCAGACATTCTTGCCTTGTGCCAGATCTTAGAGAAAAAACTTTCAATAGTTTCCCATTGATTATGATGTTAGCTGTGGGCTTTTCATCAATGCTCTCTATTTTGATGGGGAAATTTTCTTCTCTACCCATTTTATGGAGAGGTTTTACCATGAAAGAACATTGAACTTTATCAAATGCTTTTTTTATGTGATTTTTATCTTTCATTCTGTTATTATGATATATCACAGTGATTAATTTGCATAGGTAAAGCCAATCTTGCATCCCAGAAATAAACTACACTTGATCATGCTATACAATCTTCCTGACGTGTTGTTGAACTTGGTTTGCTAGTATTTTCATCAGAGAAATTGGACCATCTTTTCTTGTGGTATCTTTCTGGCTTTGGTATCAGGGTGATGTTGGCCTCATAAAATAAGTTTCAAAGTAAGCCATCCACTTTGATTTTTGGAAAAGTTTAAGAAGAATTGGTATTAATTCTTCTGTGAATGTTTGGTAAGGAAATTTACATATTCTCTAAAATATATGCTGGAAAAAGAAGTTCAGAAATAGCAATGTCAACCGTGAAATGCAAATAATACTTAACTTACCATACATTAAGAAATACTACAAAGCCATAGATGAGAACCCATGTAATACTGGTCCAAGAACACATAAATAAATAAATAAATGAGATAGAAAAAGAAACTCAGAAGTTGGAATGGTTGGATAAATGATAACACTAAATACGGAGAGGGATCTCTGAGCTCTGAGAAAAATAACAGCCCAATCTCAGGAGAGTCTATAGAACCAGAATAATCAGAGTGAAAGCCAAATCAGCCAGGGAATCCCACTGAGAATACGACTCAAGGAAAAAAAAAATAGACCAAAACTCTACAAGTCACAGATGTTTCTGGAGGCTAGCAGAGCTCCCAACAAGCAACATCCAAGTGCAGAACAGGCTATATAATCTAAAAGACTCAGTGAAAAATGAAAATGTGGGTCCCACAGTACAGAAAGAAGTGACATTAAAAGTATTAAAATGTAAAGCCATTCCTTCCTTCCACAGTCTCTCTGTCTCAATTTGTTATGGTGTTTTCATTTGCTATGTAATGTCATTCTAAGTACATTTAAATTATTAGTAAAAATTTACCATTCATCTTTATATTGTTCAATACCAGTCTTAAATGCAAATATAAGAGCATTTAACTCATGCATGGAATTAACAAAATTTCAGGCTTCACTTTTTGCAGCTCATATTTGAATATATATTATAGTCTTACCAGAAGAGTGGAAAGTCTGCAGAAAACTAACACAACTGCTTTTATTTCACTTCTTGATGTATGCAAGATCTACTGATAGTCTTTAACTTTGCCTTATTGATGAGTAAGAAGGACTAACAAGAAAAGGAATTACGGGTTGCACTATTTCCTTTTCCTTCTCTGTCATCATTTTTTAGTGTAAGTGGTTGGGTAATGCAGGGAGGTACAAAAGGACATGATAGGGTCCTCTGGTCATTTGTGTTTCTTAGTGGTCATTTACATATTTCTACATTCAAAGCAAATTATGTTTGAAACAGAAAGCATGGCCTTTAGGGATGTTCACATCCCCACTTTCTCATTGGTAGATGTAACATGCTTACTGTGTACTCCTTTGAGTCTTACTGAACCTCCACATATTAATGACTGTGATAGAATGCTTAGATGGCCCCAAGTGTTCTTCCCCTTGTTGTGCATACCTTGTCCAATTCCCTCACTTAAATGCAGTGGGCTGTGTGAATGTGATGGGATATTACTCCCATGATTATATTATGTTATATGGCAAAGGTGAAGGGACTTTGCAAATGTAATTAAGGTCCCAACTCAGTTGGTTGAAGTTAATAAACAGATTGAGTATCCTAGGTGGGCCCTATATAATCAGATGAACCCTTTAAAAGAGAGACTACAGATCAGAAACTCCAAGCAACAGCAGAGACACTCTCTCTCCATCTCCCTACACTCCTCCTTTTTCCCTCCCACCATCAAACTATTGTTTTAAAACTTTGAAGAAGCAAGCTGCCATGAACTCTACTGACATAAGGAAATGAATTCTACCAACAACATGAGGGAGGTTGAAAGCAGATCGTTCCCTCTCTAAGCCTCCCAATGAGAATGCAGCCCAGCCAACTTTGAATACAGCCTTATGAACCCTTAAGCAGAGGATCCAGTTAAGCAGTACCCAAATTCCTGTCCTACAGAAAGTGTTAGTAATGAATGTGTGTTGTTTTAAACCACTCAGTTTGTGGCAAATTATTACACAGTGTACAAAACTATATTTGGGTCCACTGGAATTGTGTGCTTATGGAGCACTGCAGTTGCTATATGTGAATAAGGCAAGAAGGAACAGTGCAGACATGCATATTGTGTGATGCTTACACACATTTGCTTACACACATGCACCATCATCCCATCAGAATTCACTTACAAAACACAGATCCGAATGTAAAATTATTATGAAGTTCAAATTAGCAACAGCAGAGCATGAAATCAAGCATAAAACCTTTCTATCATGGGGCCCTAGACAACTGCATGTTCATGAAGCTGGCCCTGCACGGTGGACAAGGACCAGGAACAAGTAAAAATTACTTCAAAAATAGCGTATCTTTCTCTGCATGATAAAATATTGTATGCTGTACCCTTTCCTCTCCCATAAAAGCAATACTGTCTTAGGGAGAGTAGTGAGCAATAAGGATAGCAATCTGAGTACAAAGCATTACCCAACCAGTTTACATGGCCACATCATACGTGCTTTACACTGAATTTTATACTTAATTATTTCACTGCTTTCTCTTCCCCAACCCCAACAAATGAGCACCAAGAGGAATACTAGATTTGTTAAAAAGAAAATTGCAAAAATGCATAATTGCATTTTCTCTGAAATCCAAGCTGCAGAGTGAATAATATATTCTGACCCCATTTTGCTCATGGCACAGGACTTAAACTATTTTTTAAACAAATCCTTTAAAGTTATATAACACCTTGAAGAGTGAATCCCTCCAACTCACTCTCTGGAATTGCATACAATCATCCTTTTAAGAACTTTTTGCTCCTGGAGACTCTGTAAGGACAAAGATTCTTAGAAAAAATTTCTTGAAGAATTTTAAGTAAAATCATCAATGGAACTTGGACAAAATCAACAAATTACTTAATGCCTAAAATATCACAACATATTATCTTCTAACTGCTCTGAGGACAGAATTTACACGGAAGATTTTTGGGTTTTTTGCTTTGTTTTGTTTTCTCAAACGACATTGGCATTTGGGAAAAAAAATAAAATAAGTGCTGAAATGTAAGTTATCCTATTCTTCTGAGGGAATGAAAACAGCTGAAGAAAAGGAATTATGATGAAAAGTATTCCAAAGTAAATTCAGTCCCCAACCCTCTCTTAAGGATTACAACTCATGTGCATCAGATCCTAGATAGCTGAAAAAGTTCCAAAAGTCCATCCTTACACTTTACTGGGAATAGCTCCATCTGCAGTCATAGTGGCGTGGCTCAGAATAAATCCCAAAGACAATTCTAATTTCCTATGTCTGATTTCTTCTGCCTCAAATCTTACAGTCAACTTTTATTTTTCATATTTTAAACGTTTTCTTCCCTTGACTCAACCTCCTTTTCCCAACACGTCTCTATTTTCTCTTCCATTACCAAACTCCAGACTCTAGTAACCTTACACCAGAATCACTTCAATACTTCTACTATCTTCATAAAGTCTTTTTTCTTCTAGGACATATAATAGAGCACTACCTAATTAATCCCTCTAAAATGCGATCTCTAAAAATATCAGTGCTAAATTATTCAGCCTAGCATCAAAGTCTCTCCCCAACCTAGACTCTACCACCTTTTCGCCCTTGGTGGTTTCCTGTGGGTTGAACACAAGGAAATAGCCCAAAAAGCCTCACCAGTTTTTCTGGGAGATACTATTTCTCTTAGATAAATTAAATCTGATTTCACATTTGTAGATTCAATTCAACTTTTCTTAGTCCTCTATTATATGCCAGGCACCATGCTTGACACTGGAGAAGCAACAATGAGTGAGACATGACCCTGACTTTGAAGAGCTCACTGTGATGGGTAGGAGAGTTTAAAGGGCTCCCCAACCCACCTTGTCACCCCTATTTCTACCACTACAAAATATGTGGCAACTGCTAGAAGGGATTATTCATAAAATGTTAAGAGAGCACAAATAAGGGAGTTGAGATTAGAGAGAGTAGATGTACAAAGACCATGCAAGAGCTACAATAGGTTATTTATTTATGATCCTAATTAGGGTTTCTAGTCCTAAATGATATGCAAAATAAGAAAAAAAAGTCTTCCTATATAACTACAAGGTTGCAGATCCCTAAATTAGAATAGAAGCAGAGAAGAGGGAAAGGCAGAAACCAATCTAGAGTAATGAATAACTTATAGGACTCTGTGAATAACCATATGGGAGAGAGAATTAAAGGCAAGGATTAAGCTGGATTCCAAGTTCTCAGGTCTGAGTGCCTGAGGTAAAACAGGATGTTTGAGTGGCAAAACAGTCAGAATAGAAGGACAGCTGGAGAGGGGGAAGGTAGTGTGGCATTTTGGATGTACTTATGGAAGAGATGTCTCTACTTGTAGCAGGAATTTAAAAATGAGACCTAGAACTCAGTTTTGATGTATACTTGGTGACATGATAAAAACATGAAGAAAGAAGTGGAAAAAGAAGAGCAAAAAGCCAAGAACAGAATTTTAGAAATCATCCAGATGTGAAGTCAACAGAACATGATGAAATCAAAATAAGAACATAAATAAGGAGCAGCCAGAAAGTTAAGAAGAGAAACACCACATAATCTAGAACCTTTCAGTCTTATCATACATTACTTCAAAATAAAGACCACGAATTATCCTCTGCTCTAGCAAATTTTCTCCCTAAAGGCACTTCTTTGGCCATTTGTTAGTGGTCATGAAAGTGGGGTTAGCTTTAGAAAATTCTTTTCAAAATATGAAGCACGGAATCTTTATAGTACATACAAGGGTATGTTTTTAATTATGAAATGAAAATATAAAAGAAAATCTAATGAAATGCACTATAATTCACTTACATTTTACTGAGAAAAATGTACATGTGGCTTCTCTCCAGCAGATTTCACTGCTCCCGATAGTCACACTGGGGTAAATTGCCACCAGCAAGCTTTATACTTCAAAACAATCAAAATGAAAGAACATATGAGGTTCTACATAACAAATATAGGTCTGCATTTAAAGCCATTGTGTTTTATATTTTTAGTCATAAGCACAGGTCTCTTTATATTAATGTTGAAAGGACCTACAAATAGTTCATAAATTTAGGCCTGTAAAACTGCATACCTCCTACTGATACACAATACTGCTAGTTTTTATAAGCCTTCTCTGAAGCAGAGTCCTCAACTCCAAAGGCCACAAAAGGATGTTGACTAGGACTGGCCTATGCCTAAGGGACAAATAGTTCAAGTGAAGTCAAATATTAGCACTAAGAATTGAAATGTAACCTAACCAACCTACAAATCAAAGTTTTGTGATAATTTATTTTTCTTAAATGAGGCGCAATAGGATTTCAGTATCAGACATTGTCAAAATTCCAGCTCTGCTTCTTAATAGCTATGTGATCTTGAAAATGTTAGGAGATCTCGGTTTCCATATATGAGAAATGGATGGTTGTGTATAACTTGCAGGGTCATTGGGAAGGTTAAAAAAGATAGCTCATAGGTGGGAATTGAACAATGAGATCACATGGACACAGGAAGGGGAATATCACACTCTGGGGACTGTGGTGGGGTGGGGGGAGGGGGGAGGGATAGCATTGGGAGATATACCTAATGCTAGATGACGAGTTAGTGGGTGCAGCGCACCAGCATGGCACATGTATACATATGTAACTAACCTGCACAATGTGCACATGTACCCTAAAAACTTAAAGTATAATAAAAAAAAAAAGAAAAGTAAAAAAAAAAAAAAAAAATCAAAAATGAAAAAAAAAAAAAGATAGCATATATAAATTGCCTACAACAGAGCCTAGTCCATATATCTGTGCAATGTAATTGGGTAGACTAGTTTTAAAGAATAACATTAATTTTGTTTGATCTCTTTTTCTCTCCCACAATTTTTTCTACTTGTATTAACAAGAAAGCAGCATTTTTGTAATCTGACATTTTCTAGATTCCATATGATTAATGCAATTTTCAGCAAACTTTATGGTTAATTTCTCTAGCTTTTATGACCATCTATGATTAATGCTTTCTTAGCTAGTAATAAATGTGATAATGTTATGAGTTCTGTAACTTGAAGCATTATAAGTAGAACAAAATGAGATGATTTATGCAATTAAAGACAGGTAGGACAGCCCACACTTGACCCCCATTCAAAAAATATAAAATAATTTAAAATAGGAGTGCAGGCCTGTTTAGAAGAGAAAAACACATCATGCAAAAAAAAGAAACTGTGCTTTAAAAAGGTTGTCTGAAACTTTTTACAAAATACAGCATGCTCAGTAACAACATGGCTTTTTTTAGTCAGATTTGCTTCAAGTGAGTCATCGAAGTTCTCTGTGCCTCAATTTCCTTTTCTGTTAAATAATAATGGCAATATTTAAAGATTAAATGATTAATATATAAGCTATATAACTGTCAAGAGTAGTTATTTCTCAACAGTTTGTTGTTATTCTTTCGAGATTCATCCGGGTCCTGAGAACAAACAGAAAAAACTCAGCTAAGGATATGAAGAGAATTTAATGTTGGGGCTATTTTCAGAGGTGTAGGGACCAATAAGACCCAGGACTGTCAACAATCAGAAGCCATCATTACAACAGGATATGTAGAGGTAAGCAAGGGGAAGACAATTCTAGCCAACCTGGTGGTCATAAAGGGTTGCAGAACTACAGTACTCAAAGGGAAGGGGAGAAATATTTCTATTTTCAACTGACTAAAGCCAACAGAAAGCTAGAGGGCAAAGAACTGTACAGCCAAGGTGCTGGAGTCCATGGGAATCATCCTCCATGGACAGGCTCTCCAAGGGCAGAGAAGAGCAGAGAATCAATCGGGGGGTTGGAAGGTTAAACAGAGTCTATCCAACCTAAATTATAATTGAATAATTAAATCGAACCCTGTATTCCTCATAGTTACACTTAGGCCAGACCCTTTATTTTGCTCACTGGACTCCATTCTCAGTTCTCCATCTATTCCAAGTCCTTTTTTTGGCAGGGGACAGACTTAGTGTGATAGCTGTGCCACACCTGTTATCTTCTGGGTTCTTGATCAGTGAAGGGTAAGCCTTCATTTTGAGGCATTTCTGCTTCTCTTTTACTGCTCCAATTCATAGTCAAAAGGAATACAATTCTTGATGATTAAAAAGTACGATAAGTCTGATAAATCTGTTGTCAGTTTGTTCATGCAAAAGATAGAGTGTAAAAATCTAATGAGCCTTTCAACATTTTTGTGACTGCTTGGCAAACAAAGCAATGGCTCATTTTGGTTTTGCTTATTTACTATACTCTCCTCTACAGAATGATTCATAATGCCAACATTTACCTTTAGCCAAAGCTTTTACATTCAATCAGCAAACCACTTAAATACATCAGCCTGAATCTTGATATCAGTAATCTGGGTGAATTGGTATAAATTTTTGTTTCAGGTGTTTAAATTATTAATTTATAACAAGAGGAATTTTAAAAGAGACCAAATCTACTCTACTGTTTGGGGGGGTGTGTGTACATATAATAGTTAAAATGAAAAAGCATTTTGTGATTTTGTTACAATCTTCTCAATAACCTCTCAAATTAGGTATTTAGAGACAAATTGTGAAAGACTTAGAAATGGAACAGAAAAGGCTTGTGGGAGTTCTCAGTAAAAAACTAGGCATTTCCTAGGATACACCCTTCCTCATTATCTATCAGATTCATGCCTTTCATTGACAGAACTGTTTACTACTCTGTATATTGTAAATAACTGATCAAAATGGAAATAATTATTTTTCTGAGTTTTTTTAACAATACATAATATTTGCATATATTTATGTGGTATATATGATATATTACTACATGCATAGAATGTGTAATGATTAAGTCAGGATGTTAAGGTATCCATTACCACAAGCACTTATTATTTCTATGTTTGAGAACATTTCAAGTCATCACTTCTGTTATTTTGAAATGAACAATACATTGTTTTTAACTATAGTCACCCTACAGTACTATTGAACATTAAAACTTATTGCTTTTATCTAACTATATATTTGTACCCATTAACCAACTTCTCTTTATCCCAGCCTCTGGCAACCCCCATTCCACTCCCTACTCCCATATGAACATCTTTTTTAGCTTCCATATATGAGTGAGAACATGTAATATTTGTCTTTCTGTGCCTGGCTTGTTTCACTTAACATAATGACCTTCAGTTTCATCCATTTTGCTGCAAATGACATGATTTCATTCTTTTTTATGGCTAAATAGTATTCCATTGTGTAACTACATTACATTTTCTTTATCCATTTATCCATTAATGATATTTTCTTTATCTATTCATCCATGTAAGTCCACTTGGGTTAATTTCATATCTTTGCTTTGTGACTAGTGCTGCAATATGCTGCAGCAATATGAGTGCAGTTATCCCTTTGATATACTGATAATCTTCCTTTTGAATAAATACCCAGTAGTGGGATTCCTGAATAACATGGTAGTTCTATTTCTAGTTTTTTGAGGAACCTCCATACTGTTTTCCATAATGGCTGTACTAATTTACATTTCCACCAACAGTGTGTAACAGTTCCCCTTTCTCCTCCTCACCAGTATCTGTTATTTTTTGCCTTGTTAATAACAGCCATTCTAACTGGGTAAGGTAATATGTTGTTGTTATTTTGATTTTCATTTCACTGATGATTAATGATGTTGAGCATTTTTTTACATACCTATTGGCCATTTGCATGGTTTCTTTTGAGAAATATCTATTCAGATTCTTTACCCACTTTTTAATGAGATTGTTTGTTTGCTTGTGTGTTTTGCTCTTGTGTTGAGTTCCTTGCATAGTCTGGATATTTTGCAAATATTTTCTTTCATTCAGCAGGTTGTTTATTCACTCTGTTGATTATTTCCTTTGCTGTGAAGAAGGTCTTTATTTAATGTAGCCCCATTTGTCTACTTTTTGTTTTGTTTCCTATGCTTTGTGAGTCTCAGCCATAAAATCTTTGCCTAGACCAATGTCCTGGAGGGTTTCCCCTATGTTTTCTTCTAGTAGTTTTATAGTTTTGCTCTTATGTTCAAGTCTTTATTCCAATTTGAGTTGATTTTTATGTATGGTGAGATAGAGGTCTAGTGACCTAGGTCCTGCACATGGATTTCTAGTTTTCCCAGCACCATTTATTAAAGAAAGTATCCTTTCCCCAGTATATGTTCTTGGCACCTTTGTTCAAAATTGGTTGGTTGTAAATACAAGGGTTTATTTCTATGTTCTCTGTTCTGCTCCATTGCTCTATGTGTCTGTTTTTATACCAATATCATGCCATTTTGGTTATTATAGCTTTGTTTTAACAGTATATTTTAAAGTCAGGTAGTGTGATGTGTCCAGTTTTGTACTTTTTGCTTAGGATTGCTTTGGCTATTCAGGCTCTTTGATTCCAAACAAATTTTAGAACTTTGTCTTTCTTGAAGAATATCATTGGTATTTTGATAGGGATTGCATTGAATCTGTATATTGCTTTGGATAGTATGGGATGGTTTTCCTTTTTTTTTTTGTCCTCTTTTATTTCTTTCATCAGTGTTTTCTAGTTGTTCTTGTAAAAGTCTTCCACCTTTTCGGTTAAATTTATTTCTAGAATTTTTTTTTTTTGTAGCTATTGTAGGCGGGAACACTTTCTTGATTTATTTTTCCACTAGTTAATGCTGGTGTATAGAAAGGCTACTAATTTTTGCATGTTGATTTTGTATCCTACAAACTTTAATGAAATTGTTTATTATGGCTTTTATGGTGGAGTCTTTAGGTTTTTCTAAATATAAGATCATATCACCTGCAAAGATAGACAATTTGACTACTTCATTTCCAGCTTGGGGTTTGTTTTTTTTTTTTCTTTCTATTGCCTTATTGTTTCAGCTAGGACTTCAGTACTATGTTCGATAAGAGTGATGAAAGTGGAGGCCGGGTGCGGTGACTCACGTCTGTAATCCCAGCAGTTTGGGATGCTGAGGCAGATATATTACCTGAGGTTAGCAGTTCGAGACCAACCTTGCCAACATGGTGAAACCGCGACTCTACTAAAAATACAAAAATTAGCCGGGTGTGGTGGTGGGCACCTGGGAGGCTGAGGCAGAAGAATTGCTTGAGCCCGTGGGGAGGAGGTTGCAGTGAGCTGAGATCACGCCATTGCACTCCAGCCTGGGCAACAAGAGCAACACTTTGTCTCAAAAAAAAAAAAAAAAAAAAAAAAAGCTTTGAAAGTGAGTAGTTTGCTACTGTTTTATTGAGGACTTTGCATCTATGTTTATCATGGATGTTGGCTTATAGTTTTCTTTTTGTGGTGTCCTTCTCTGGTTTTGATATCAGGGTAATGCTGGCTTCATAGAATGACTTCTTAGCAAGAATCTCCTCCTTTTGTATATTTTCGAATATATTGAGGATAATTGGCATGAGTTCTTCTTTGTAATTTTTGTAGAATTCAGCAATGAATCAGGATGAAATAGAAAACCCAAACACACCAATAACAAGTAACGAGATTAAATCAGTAACAAACGTTCTCTTAACAAAGAAAAACTCAAGAAATAATTGTTGATCATAGACAGGCAAATTAATTCTTCCCATAGAGGGACAACTGACTTCCGTACCATTTGTGAGTTGGGGGTTGGAGGGCAGGGAGGGGTGAGCACTCTTTGTAATTGTAAATTCATTTAAATACTCCTGATTACTATATTTGTGTGGTATTTTGTATTATCCTTTAAAGTTGTAATATCTTTCTGGTTTCCTCAATAATTAATGAGTAAATTAAATCTTTGACACGTTTATTTTATATTTGTGTGTGTCATGATTTTATCTTTTTAATCTTTTACAGGTATTATCATCATTCCCCAGTTTTACAGATGGAGAAACTGAGGATCAGAAAAGTTGAGTAACTAGCCCACTGCGGAACTACTACTATTCTGAATACACAATTGTTGAACTCAAAGTGCATACTTTTCTCATACATGAAAATTTTATTAATGTAAAAAAAATCACATGAATATTGTATGCTAGAGCCTTTAATAGAACACTGGATCATATGTAGCATGAAAATCCAACCAACTAATAATTACCACTCATTAGATAATTAGTGACAGTATTGCTAATTACATTTCAACATAGTTTCTGTATGGTAATAAAAATGTTAATAATAGCCTGGTGAAGCATAAACAAAGTAATATTGTACAAACTCAGCAATCAAACATGCCAGTGATTCATTTCAGTTGGAACATTAGGAAATTTCAAGTATGTTTTTCTTCTCTCTACTGATTCTTTGGATTAGCAGACATTATTAGCTGGTTTTGATTGTTTCATATGTAGTGAAAAAAAGAAAAAAGAATCAGAGAAGGAGTAAAAGAAAACACAGGTGAAGGGGCTCGGCGCAGTGGCTCACGCCTGTAATCCCAGCACTTTGGGAGGCCGAGGCAGGCGGATTGCCTGAGCTCAGGAGTTCGAGACCACCCTGGGCAACATGATGAAACCCTGTCTCTACTAAAATTAAAAAAAAAAAAATTTAGCTGGGAGTGGTGGCACGTGCCTGGAGTCCCAGCTACTCAGGAGGCTGAGGCAGGATAATTGCTTGAACCTGGGAGGCAGAGGTTGCAGTGAGCCCAGATCACGCCACTACACTCTAGCCTGGGTGACAGAGCGAGACTCCATCTCAAAAAAAAAAAAAAAAAAAAAAGAGAGAGAGAAACAAGTGGAGGATGATGATGAGAAGGAGCAGCAGCCTTCAGCATGTGATAAATTAAAACAACATATATATGGAGTCAGGAATTCTGTTTTGCAATTCTGTACACTGGGCAAGTTATTTATTCAGAGTCAGGTCCTTCATGTATAAAATGGGGATATGACCACCTAGCACTAAGCTACTAAGGTAAAATGAGATAATGACTATATACCATCTGACACACAAGTAAGATTTCAGTATTTTAATTCCCTTTGCTCAACTCTAGCCCTGCTCCAGATCATTCCATAGCCCTCAAAACACAATGAGGCAGTACACAAGAACTTAGAATATACTTTACTATTAAGTAGTCTCAGAGAGCAAATAGTGAATCTGAATGTTCAACTAAATTTTTTTCCAGTCAGCACCTGTAAGATATGAATTCTCAATAACACACTTACAAAACAGCTAATTTCAAGACTCACATGAATGTGATGAAAAATGTGTTTTCTTGAAAAAATGTAAGACAAACAAGTGTCATATGACTCAGAAGTTCTGATATCCATCAAACAGTGTCTCAGAAAAAAATTATAGTGGTTACAGTGTGACAACCTGGAGGGACAACTTTTAGGTTATGGTTAGCTTTGTACACAGCTGAAGGGACAAACTAATATGCAGTCTTTAAACCATTTAAGATTATACAATGCTCTGCATTTCCTCCCTTAGTTTCTTTTCTCAGGGGAGTCGAGGGAAGGGGATGGGAGGATGTTTGTTTTAAATCAGATTCCCAATTTAGTTCATGAAGGATAAGTGGTAAAACATTAAGAACATCCGTTTTTATTCTTCTAGCTTCTTATATATTCCTCAGTAATGTCTCAAATTTCTTCTTCCAAATCTTTCAAAACTTTTCATCCTCATGAATCCTCTCTGAATTAAACAAAGAAACATAACTGTAAACCTTCTATAAATAAGCCAAAACTATCGTCATCTTTTATAATAAATATAAAATATTAAGCAAAAACATTATCATTTTTGAGTGGCCAAGTCACTCAAAATATAATAGTTAGCAACCGCTATAGAGGTTTCCATCCTATAAAAAAAAAAAGAATTTTCTTAAAGAGAACACAAAAGAAGAGCATAGATTATGAGTCATTCCCTGGATCTCCAGCAATCGATAATAGGTTAAAAAGCCATCTTAGACTCAGATGTTAAACATGGGGCAGTTTCTTTTGAGCAGAAGTCTATTTCAGGTTTCTTGAACTTTGACTGAGTTTGAACACATAACCATGGAGGTCACCATAGTACAGCCAACATGTATGTGTAGACTGTGTGGCCTGTATCTATCATGTTAGGCATTCTTGTTCACCTTGATAGTAAAGAGGATCAATCATACAATCCCATTATGGACCAACCTTCTACCATTGGCACCCCATCTTGGTCACTAAATATCACAGCAAGTTCATATACGCACATAACCTATGATGGTACACTCATAATGGTTATCAGGGAGTCAGACAGTGCAGATAAAATTATCATAGCTATATCAGAGAGGGTTAGGCCTGTAATCAAAAAATGCACCAGTAAATAACTGGAGTTCTACAAGATAATTCCTAATTGGTTTGAAGCTTTGGAAAATAGCTATGTATGGTAAGCGTGTTGTCATTCTTTATCAACAAAAAAAGTGCCAACGGGTAATTTAATAATACATCTTTCTTCCTTTTAGGGATCCTCTGTTTCAACTTAAATTAATTTAACACAAAGTTGTATACTGAAATTCAGTTCTGGCACAAAGTCCTGGAATTAGCATAGACCCTACAATTTACAGGCTCAGTAATCCTGAAAACTGCCCCCACTTCAGACACCAGTCACAAGTTCAAGTGATTCCCAGGCTATCCACACCACTAAACAACTGGCTACAAATTTGGATTTCCCCATATTGAGCCCACTCACACTTAATTTGCTGAATTCAGGAAAGTACTTTATTTACAATTACAGTTTTTTTGTTTTTTTTTTTTAATATAAAGGATACAACTCAAGAGCAGCGAAATGAAGAGGCACACGGGACAAGGTCTTAGTGCTTTCCAAACACAGAACTCCACAGCCTTCAACTCGTGAAGTCAGGGTGTGTCTTCCTCCTGGCACATTAATGTGCTCATCAACCAGGAAACTCCACTGAGCTTCAGCATCCAGAGTTTTTATTGCAGTTCATTAATTCTTTGGGCACAGAATTAAAATCAGTCTCCAGCTTTCCCCACCTCCTTGGTGGTTGGGTTATATCAAAGTTCCCTCCCTCTAATCATGTGATTTTCTGTGGCCAGGCTTCATCCTGAAGTTATCCAGGGTACCACTATGTGTTACTTAATTAGCATAAACTTAGGCATGATCCAAGGGGCTCATAAGTAACAAGGACACTCTTGTTATTCAGAAAATCTCAAGAGCTTAGAGGCTCCCTCCCAGAATCAGGGACAATATCCAGCCAAATCCTTTATTATACACCATGGGATGATTATATGCATTGTATTATCAAGCGGGCCAAAAACAAGGCCTGAATATGTAACTGATGATCAAATAATGTATTAAGAAATATAAATGACTTGTTTCTTCTACACCAGAATCACAGATCAGCTTCAGTACTCAAAGCCATCTGCTCTCCCAGCTTATTCTGGTGTTAGGAAATAATGGGACTTGAGTCTGAGAACCGAACCACTTCAGGAGCATTGGCATCATGTACATGGAATCACATAATCTACACCATTGGCATCTTAGTCTCTCTTATTCTATTTTAGTCTATTTCAAAGTCTAAACAATTTCTGATCATTAGCCAAAAGGGCCTCCTCTCTAAATACTGACAGACTTGAATGCCATTCTCTTAGTTCATCCAATTTTAAATAACTGATGCTTTATAGCAAACACCTCCAGACATCAATATAGCTATGAAATCTATAACAGAAAAGTACCAAATTATCTGATCTCTCACTCAACTTCAGGATAGATAGGATACCAATTTTTCCACGCTGTAATTTGTCTCAGATTCTTTCAGCATCTGTTGTAGAAATGTACTCTGTAGAACTGTTTATCCTGTCTAGCCCTCCAATTCAGACAGCACAAAAAACACTGGAGTTGGAACTGGCAGACCTAAAGGCTAAGTTTCAGCTACCAACATACATTGAAAATTTTACTTAACTTCTCTGTACTTCGGATTTGTCATCTGTTAAATGAAAGTAATGTCAAAATCACAACCACACTGTAATGATAAAGTATGATAACACATGTATCACTTTAAGGCACAGTAGAAGATAAATTTGTTAAAACAGGCAGAATCCTGATTTGTGCTCTGAAGTCCTCATGTTCAATTAAACTGCATTTTTTCATATGCTGTGCTTTAGGATCAATTACACACACACACACACAAACACACACTGTTCTCTGTTTAGCTCTACCAAATGGCCACTTGAAGACATAATATGCATTCAGTAATTACACCTCCACCCTTGGCAAGGTAGTTAGGGATGGACTTTAAGCCTTACAATGTGGCAAAAGCCTGCCAAAACAAATCCAAATACTATACAATGCTGGTATCTCAACCCTGCCAATAGCTCCTTCAGCTTATCTTCATGCAGAGATACATGGCTCTCCATGGTAAGTCAGGTATGTCAATTTGCATTCTAAAAATGCCAAATTTGTCCTCCTATACTTCTGATCCTGAAGTTAAATATTCAAAACACCAAATACCTATATTTAGCACTCTACAAAGCTTTCAATGTTGACTTGACAGCCATGTGGTTCCAATCAAAAGCCTGTATAGGAAAATTAATATTTGAGAATAATAGTCAACTGGTGTGTTTTGATCTTCCTTAATTCATGCCTCCTTCAATACATTCTCTTGCACCTACTGTTATGTTCATCCCAGCCAAATTTAGTTATAAAAAGCCTAATTTTCTGTTGTTTCAAGTTACAATGAATATATATCAAATATCCTTGTCCAAAGTGCACACCACATCCTCAGCTACTCCTGCTCAGAACTTGACATGGAAATATGGTCACAGGATAAGGATTGAAGAGCAGACTGTTGGATAGCAATTTGGAAGTGACAATGAGCAGCAAAGTAGATAATGAAACTATTTTCAAGCCCTGAGATTTGGGGTTGTGAAAGAGAAAACTGCTTCCACTTGTGAGTACTGTAAGAAAACCAATATCCTCTGAAGATAGTCAGGTTTTGGTTTACGCAGGGAAGTCAAGATAATACTTTGTGACAATGTGAAAATTAAAAGAATCCTGCTAATGAGGAGGAAGGCATTTCAGAGGGCATCATGGAACAGTCTGGGTACAAAAAGGAGGACCAGATCAGTCATCCACGGGCACCATAGGGAAGAGATTCCAATTGGTGAGAGATGGCAGAAAAGGCTTACTCTCTCGTGGAAACTCAGATAAACAAGGACACGAGGCATGAGGGATTTGTCCTCATAGTCTGGGCAATGAGAAAAGACAACCAATGTTACTACTGCTACAAGAAGTCACCACAGAGAATTGCCCATGGCATTGTGGCTTACTTCAGCGTGATGGAATTTAAGCTACAATTAACTTCTAAAAACTATACCATGTAGTGTAGTAGCCCATCCTGTTGGCATTTCCCAAAAAATATAATGGCCATCAAGGTTGGCAAGATGAAGGAGGCAGGGGAATGGACAGACACGGTCAATGTAATAGTGCTCATGACCATAGGCTAACATTTTATGTATCTTACAGGCGACTTTTAAAAATTACTCCTATAATTTGATGGTATCAATTATAAAGAAGATAAAAAATATAAATATTTTGAAATAACACAGAATTCTCCTGTCTGCATACTTTCCAACTGTGTGTAAACAAAGAAGTTAATAAATTCATCAGATTGGAAAGATTTACTACCAAAGAACTCTATCAGTGGACAATTAAAAGGTTTAGTTAAGGAATATATTCATAATTGCAAATCTTCCTATAGAAACAAAGAAAACACTTTGAGATTAACGAGAAAACATAGTCAGAATCCATCATGGTTGAGGGAAATAATGAGGCTGCAGCTCAGGAAATTCTCAGTTCTATTACAATAAAAAACAAGTTTAACAGCACATACGTCATTCAACAGTTACACTATATAGGTCTCTCAAATAAACTATTCTGTTCCCATCCCCCATTGCTTGTTTTAACATATGTTTCACACATGAAAGTCTCTACCCCATGACCAGCTTTTATCATCAGCTTTCAAAAACTGTGAAAATATGTTTTCACTCCAGTTTTGCATATTTGTCAACTTAGGAAAGTTCCTATCACTTGTGTGAATATAGGAAGAGGGTCTGCCTAGAGAGCTAACTCATAAAAAATAACTAAATTACAGTTCTCATTTTATAGCTCTTCTCTTGGCATGGCGTTTGGTGTCAAAAATAGATCTTCTGAATTGAATCCATAAATAAATATATCTTATATATAAATTAATTTATACATATATATATGGAGTGAGAAAAAAAAGAAAGAGAGAGAGCACCACATCTGACTCAAGTTATGAATCTTTGTTTTCTTTCTCCAGGAGTTCTTGTGGAATGGGCTGTGCTCACCCAGACTCCTGTCTCACCTAACATCCAACAGCACATTGGGAGGTCAGATAAGCCTTAGAAGGATTGAGGAAATCGCTTCTCTGTATGCCTTCTTCAGCAACATACATTGCTTCTGCCTTATTTTCTTTGCAGCAATATTATGAAGTAAGACCCCCACAGCAATTACATGACTTTCCACTGGTGGGTAGTGTTCCTTCTCTGCCCCTTAAACACAGCTTCATTACCAGGTACTGAAGCAATCAGCCTATGCTAGCCCACACTAAAGAACACCTACATGCAACTGAAGAATTTTATCCAAGGTATATGAGGAAAGCTGCTATAGAATTCAGCTACTAAAGCTATACACTGGCCAGATGGTGTTTTAATCATCAAAGAGGGAGAGAATTAAAACTAGGAGGCTGGCACCTCTGAAAAGAGACTGTGACATCAAGATGCATACCAAAGTGCAGGGCTCTCAGTTTTACTTCCTAAGCACTACTACATTAGTGAGATGTTAACTAGCTGCTTCCGCAGAGAATTCTTCAAACATAAAATGGGGAAAGTTCTTACTTTGGCCTTGCTTGCCTACTGGCAAAGGGTAGAAAGTAAAAGAGCACCAAAGCAGTTGATACACAATGAAGTTGAAAGGTGCAATTGCAGAAGGGAAGGCTGCAAAAACAATGCCCGAAGCATAATTGTAGGCTGGCTGCATAACCACTGTAACCAACAGACTTGTAGAGCAGGCTCCAGAATGTAGCTGCCTCTTTGAGCCACACTGCAGGTCAGCTCAGAGTCTAAATATTAGCTCATACGTGATAACAGACTAGAAAGTTAAACACTTTAAACATAAAATAATCTTCAGGTGCCCAGAGGAAGGAAGAAAAAACAAAACTAGCCAAGGACGGTAGCCTTGTCTTTGCAAATGAGAGAAAACAAAATGATTTAAAACAATGCTGCCTGTGACTATCCGAAATTCTGCTGCTCCCATCTAATGGAGGTGTAAAATAATTATCTCCACTTCCAGGAGAGAAATAATTAGATGATGTTGAATTGAAAAGTTTCTATGTTTAAAATATAGTTTTTATTACTCTAAAAGAAATTAGTGTTGTTAGTAGAAAAATTATAAAGTTCAGAAAAATATGGAAGAAAAAACCATAATCCTACATCCCAGAGGCAACCACTACTAGTTTGTCATTTTTCTTTCTAGTTTTACACATATTTTACATGGTTGATATACTAAATATGAAATATTATACTCTGCTTTTTCAGTTATTAAAATAAATATTTTTTGAACTGACTACATTTTAATGATACCTGGCTTACTTGTTAAAAAGTATTTCTTTTAGGTCATATAAAGTACAATGTATTCTATCATGTAGATATAGTGATAAGTTAAAAAATATAGTTTAAGGTCTCTTACTAGTTCAAATCACAAACCTAAGAAGCTAATTAGAGTGTAAATTCTGCATATGGTAGAGTCAGAAACACCAAACCACACTAAACCCTTTTGTGAGTGGGGACAACAACACCACATATAAATGAAGAGTTCTGCAGAGCCTCAAGGAGCTTCCACTCATTTTGTCAATCATTATTCTGGCGTGTCCATTTGCAAATGAAATAAAGCAAAAAAAAATGTAAAAAAGTCTTTTGTGATTGCCCCTCAACTCCTCCACAATTTCTTGCTTGTGTCTTTGAAGACCAACTGCAAACTTCAAGTTTCTACAATTTTCCTTGATTCTTTGGTTTCTAGGAAGACAGCTTTCCCCAGTTGTGTTCTCATGAGCTTTGAATAAACTCTAATATAACACACTTATTATATCATTAATTTATTGTCATTGTTTAAGCTCCTCAAGACTCTATGAACTTCTTGAAGGTACAACTAATATGTTGTATTTATTTTTCCCTCAGAATCTATCAATGACTGACTAGTAGAGAGTAAGGGCTCAATACCTATTTTTGAGCAATCACTATTAAATAAATTTAAAGTGAAACACATTTTTTTCTGAAAACACAGGAAAGCAATATTCAAAAGGGGTCCCGATCCAGACCACAAGAGAGGGTTCTTGGACCTTGTGCAAGAAAGAATTTGGGTGACTCATACAGTAAAGTGAAAACAAGTTTATTAAGAAAGTAAAGGAATAAAAGAATGGCTACTTCATAGGCAGAGCAGCGGTATGGGCTGCTTGACTGAGTGTATGTATAGTTATTTCTTGATTATATGCTAATCAAGGAGTGGATTATTCATGAGTTTTCCAGGAAAGACATGGGAATTTCCTTGGAACTGAGGGTTCCTCCCCTTTTTAGACTGTATAGGGTAACATTGGATATATAACCTCCAGGTTATAGGATAACTTCCAGGCATTTGTAAACTGTGATGGCACTGGTGGGGGTGTCTTTTAACATGCTAATGCATTATAATTAGCATATGCGCAGTGAGAAAGACCAAAGGTCCCTTTCATTGCCATCTTGGTTTTGGTGGGTTTTGGTCAACTTCTTTATGGCATGCTGTTTCATCAGCAGGGTCTTTGTGACCTGAATCTTGTGCTGGCTCCTATCTCATCCTGTGACTATGAATACCTAATGTTCTGGGAATGCAGCCCAGTAGGTCTCAGTCTTATTTTACCCAGCCCCTATTTAAGATGGAGTTGCTCTGGTTCAAATGCCTCTGACAATACTGCACAATTTGTATTAATATAAATCTTCATAAATTACAAAGTTGCTTTTAAACTATGTTCATGTATGTGCTTTTATAGAATCCTCAACTCAGTGTTTAAGATATCTCTTTTATTTCTTGAAATATGTTGCAAAAGATATATAATAACATTTGTGTTTCCTAAGAAAGAATTATGTATAATTTCTGTGAGGATATCAGCAACTTGGTATTGTGATGGTTAGATCTATAGAGTTAGGAATGATAGAAACCAACAGAGAGACAAAGATTTTAAAGCTTAACAGAGGTTTAAGATTTCCCTTTAAATCAAAAGTACCAAGGAGTACTATAAAATCATTCATCCTCTTTTTCAACTGTCAAACATCTATGTCAATACATTTTAGACCTTGTTCAAGGGGACAGCAGAGAGAACAGAGGATAGCTTAAATGGCTTATCCACAATCATATAATAAACCAGAAAGGATGTGGTAATCCATCATTATAGAACATTTCCTCATAAGGATTTGGGATGTCTTGAGGTCTATTTGAAAACTATTTTAATCCCCTGTGGGGAGGGGCTATCTTCTCTATGAGTTAATGGAAAAGATTCCAATATTGTTTCTTGATGCCTTTTTCTCTTTTTCTTTTTTTCTGATTTTATTTTGTATTCTTTTCCATTTATGTTTTTAGAAAACATAGAGAAATATTTTTATATAAGCTGCCATATATGATAAACACATATTTTATTAATAATATCAGAATGTTGAAAAATTAAAATAAAAAATATATTCAATATCTATGACATACTGTGCAGGAATACATGAATTTCCTTACAAACATCAATCTAATTTAAACCTCACCAAAGAAATTCAATTTTAATTTTACTGAGTATTGATCCCAAGCGAGGTTATTTCAGGCTCTTTGGAGGGGAGTTATCTATTACAGCAATCACCACTCCCGCGAGCCAGAGAAGAAATTGAATCAGAGAAACTATTTGCAAATGGCCAAACAAATTGATAATTTTAAACGGAATGGACTCTAATACAGAGAAAGTATAAGCCCTATTCATTTTTTTCTGCTAATGACAGTGGTTTCTCTCAGACAGACAATATGAGGCTGATTGGGTTGTTATGGCAAAGCCATTCAAAGGCTTGGAAAATGTGTTTCTGGAAATGTCCTTTCATTCTTTGGCTTTGGTACAGCTAACACCCGTGTGTAGCCTGGTGCTTACACAATTATTTCAGAGTACCTACTCTCCTTGGGTAGCTTCCCACTGGGGACATTTTGAAGACTTCCAATCTGGCCAGATGAGTGCTTTCTGGGCTCAATAAAGACACAGCTCTCCCTGGAGAAATAGTTACACTAGGGAGGTATTTGGGGAAGGCAATTGGAAAGCAGGTCACTGATTGCTGATGAGAGAGCCCTGAGCAGCCATCTCCGGCTTGGTTTAAGCACAGAAGGTTATAGATCTAGTGTGACATTCCAAATAGTGGGAAGGATAACCCAACAAACAACTCAACCCTTATTTTGTTATGATTGCAGCCATTCTTCTTGTCTACTTTCAGCCAAAGCTAAAAAATTTAGCAATTTGATATAAAATATTCGAGGTTATATATCATCTTTACTATTTTTAAAAAATTAAAAATATTTTCTTGGCCCCTATATATCCATTAATAGGACATTAAATTTCTTTTAATCTCCAATAATAACTAAGAATTCTCAGTAATGCCTCATGTTGGCTGTTTGTAAGCCCATGTTAAATGATTCCCCAACTTTATCAGTATTGGAAGGAATAACACAGCGTTGCTCCCATTTTCAGTTAGAAAAAAATATTTTTAACTATATATAGAAAATATTTGTACATGTTTAATATATGTATATATGTACATTTTTAAAGTAACAATAAAAATCAATATTGCATACCCTCCACCCAGCCTAAGAAATAATCACTACAAATGTCTTTGAAGCCCTGAGTGTACCCATTCCCAACCCCAGCTCCTTTTCTCCTTGCCACTTAAGGTAACCATCAACTTGAATTGTTTATTTATTATTCCCTTACTAATCTTTGTAGGCTTACTACATAATTATGGAATTCCAAATAATACATTATTTAATTTTACACTTAACAAAATGGAGTAACACTATATGTATTCTCTTTTGCCAGTTTTTTTTTTTTTTTTTTTTTTTCAAATTAGAGACAAGGTCTTATTATGTCACCCAGGCTGGTCTCAAACTCCTGGACTCAAGCAATCCACTCACCTTGGCCTCCCAAAATGCTGGGATTACAAGCATGAGCCATCATGCCACACCCAGTCATTGTGCCTTTTTTTAAGGATCCTTGTCTTGTTTCAGTTCTTAGGGGGATTGTTTTCATCTTTTCCCCATTCAGTACGATGTTGGCTGTGGCTTTGTCATATATGGTCTTTATTATTTCAATGTATATTACTTCTGTGCCTAGTTGTGAGGGGTTTTTTTTATCATGAAGGGGTGTTGAATTTTTTCAAATGCTTTTTCTGCATCTATTGAGATGATCATAAGGTTTTTGTTTTTACTTCTGTTTTGCGATGAATCGCAATATATTGATTTGCATATGTTGAACCATCCTTGCATCTCTGGAATAAATCCCAGTTGAGCATGGTGTATTATCTTTTTAACACGTTATTGGATTCAGTTTGATACTACTTTGTTGAGGATATTGGCATCTATGTTTGTCAAGGATGGTGGCCTGTAATTTTCTTTTTTTGTTGTTGTGTCCTTCTCTGGTTTTGGTATCAAGCTAATGCCGGCCTCATAGAATGAGTTAGAATGAATTCTCTCATTTTTTATTTTTTGGAATCACTTGAAAAGATTTGGTGTTAGTTCTTCTTTACAAGTTTGGTAGAATTCAGCACTAAAGCCATCCTGTCCTGAGTTTGTCTTTGTTGGGAGATCTTTTACTTCCGAATCCAACTCCTTACTGGTTATTAGTCTTGTTCAAGTTTTCTCTGTCCTCTTGTATCAATCTTGGATTTTATTTATCCATTTCCTCTTGGTTTTCTAATGTTAGTGTGTAGTTTATCATGATGGTCTCTGATGATCTTTTGTACTTCTGTGGTATCAGTTGTAATAATTCCTTTCTCATTTCTGATTTTACTTATTTGGGTCTACTCTCTTTTCCTGCTTAGTCCAGCTAGGAGTTTATCAATTTTGTTTACCTGTTCAAATGAATAACTTTTTAATTTCATTTATTTTATTTATTTGTGTTTCTTTTTAGTGTCTATTTCATTTACTGCTTCTTGACCTTTATTATTTCTTTATTTCTACTAATTCCTGAGTTTCATTTATTCTTACTTTCCTAGTTCCTTCAGGTTCCTTAGGTTGTTTATTTGAAATCTTTCTACTTTTTTGAAGTAGGTATTTATTGTAGTAAACTTCCTTCTTACCACTGCTTTTGCTGTATCCCATAAGTTTTGGTACATTGTATTTACATTTTCATTTGTTTCAAGAAATTTTTTCATCTTCCTAATTTCTTCATGGACACAGTGCTCATTCAGGAGCACATTGTTTAATTTCCATGTATTTGTACAGTTTTTAAACTTCCTCTTGTTTTTGATTTCTAGTTTTATTCCATTGTGGTATGAGAAGATGCTTGACATGATTTCAATTTTAAAAAATTTGTTGAAGCTTGTTTTGTGGTCTAACATATGGTCTATCCTGGAGAATGTCCCATGTGCTTATAAGTAAGCATATTCTGCAGCTGTTGAATGAAATGCTCTGTAAATGTCTGTTACATCCATTTAATCTAACCTGCAGTTTAAATCCAATGTTTCTCTGTTAATTTTCTCTCTAGATGTTCTGTCCAATGCTGAGAATGGGGTATTGAGGTTTCCAACTGTTACTGTAGATTTTTTCTGTTCAAAATTTCAGGTAGACTTTCATTTTGGCAAATATTATAGCCTGGATTGAAATTGCATTCTTTACTAAAGAATCTGTTCTTGTTTCTGTCAGCTCTTCAGCTATACTCCTAATCAAATATCACCTCAAATAAAGTTTTAGATGAAGTTGAATGTTTCCAGATTGAGAGTGTGAATTTGGGCCATAAATTCATGTGGGGACAGGATTTGAGTTACAAACTTTCTTCTTTCTACACCATCATGGTTGAAACAAGGGAGTGTCCTTCCTACCTCCATTGGTGGGTGAATGTCTTCTTCTACTGAGGATATAGCTTTTTGGGTCCTGGCTCTGGGGAATAATCTTCTTTCAGTTTCCCTAACTTATGCAGGCCGGGTTTACATTCTTTTCCCCAACCTCTGAAAATGGATCTTCAGAGTTATCATTAATTGATAATTGCCCCAGTATGGCCAGCTATTCTGTGCTTGCTGAACTTTCTGAACTTCTGCTTACATTCTGTTTTTAGTCTCTGAATATTTTCCTTATTTTCTTGTCAGCTCAATACACCATGGAATACTATGCAGCCATAAAAAAGAATGAAATCATGTCCTTTGCAGGGACATGGATGGAGCTGGAGGCCATTATCCTTCGCAAACTAACAAAGAAACAGAAAACCAAGTACCACATGTTCTCACTTATAAGTGAGAGCTAAATAATGAGAACACATGGACACATACAGGGGAACAACACACACTGGGGCCTTTCAGAGAGTGGAAGGTGGGAAGAGGGAGAGGATAATGAAAAATAACTAATGAGTACCAGGATTAATAGCTTGGTGATGAAATAATCTATACAACAAACTCCCATGACTCAAGTTTACCTATGTAACAAACCTGCACATGTACCCCTGAACTTCAAAGTAAAAAAAAAAATTTAATATATTTGCTAATGTTTTTTCAATGTTCTAATTATTTTGAAGTGAAAGGTTTGTTAAGGGTCTTTGGACCACTATATCATCAGAAATTGAAAACTCATATATTTATTCAAATTGTTTACCTGAAAAACCTTATCAACTAATAGTAATGTAATTCATATTGTTGGTACCAAAAAAACAAAGACAAACTAAGTGTTTGACAGTTTGAGAGTAAACTGGATAGATTAATATTATACTGATTTTGATCTAAATATCTAAGGTTCCAATTATGAAGGATCTTTAAAAAGCAATCATTTTCTGCATTCAATACAACCCAAAGATTATATTCAAAACAGCACAAGTACCAGTGGATTAGACAAAAGCAGACAATATCCATACTTGTGAGTACCTGCAATATTTCTACACTGACAGGTAGAGAGGTGAAGAGGGAAGGGTATTATACATGAACCCACTTCTCCCCAACTTCCAAGAAGGGATTTTAGTGGTGTACATGTGAATACGACAGAAAGTAAATGAACAGTGAGTTTGCCCAAAGACTCTTTTTTACATCTTGTATGAATCTAAAAAGTAGGTAAAAGACTGACTGAGGATTTTTAGGTTCAAGATTCAAAACAATTAAAGGCAACATTTAAATAAGGGTGGTAAGTTATACTGCTTACCAGATACTAAAGCTGGTTTTTGTACTTGGGCCCCTATACTTTAACTTTATTTTGGAGGCCTATAAATACTCCAAAATGGGCATCTCTCATCCTCTTTCATATAAAGGCTATGTATGAGAAGAAAATAAGTCATGTCAATAAAAAGAACAAAATAAACTATCTTCATAAAGTCATTCAGCACATAAATACATCTTTTAATTTTTACTTTTTCATTTACTTTTGCTTAAAAATATTACCTTGGGTGATAAGGACAATTAGGAGAAGGTAATATTTTTAAGCAATTGCCTTGGGTGATTAGGACAATTGCTTAAAAATATTACCTTGGGTGATTAGGACAATTAATATCCTAATTCTAAAAGTCCTAAATCTCTTAATGTGTTACATCAAAAACCAAACAAGACTCATCTTATTGTGCTCTTAGCCTCTAAAGAAACCAACCCCAACTCTTTCTAATCATCAGCTAACTCACTGTTCACAATCAACTTACATTTAATTCCCATGAAACACCACCAAGATCACTGTCAGGGACATGTACATCAGTCAGGCAGGCCTCATTGCTTTTTTGTACTATACTTCATTTCTACTAACAGGACAGAAGTTTGGGGAGTTGCCGCATTCCAACAGGAATCTGGCAAGATTCAATGAGGATTTTTTATAGTAGCTTATGGTCTAAGATATCACTAAACTTCATCATCATACTGAGAAGCCAACACTAGTTACAGACATGCTGCTGTACTGGAATCACCAATATAAAGATTCAAGATAAGCACAGGACAGTGATTAGTGGACTCAAATGCCACCTACAGGCTATAACTTTATTTAATTTTTTTATTAAGACAAGATTAAATGCAATATTTAAAGAGAGGTGGTAAGTTACACTGCTCACAAGAAACTAAAGTTGATTCTTGTGTTTGAGCCCTTCGGTAGTTTAATGTTATTTGAGTGACCCATAAGTACTCCACAGTGAGTACAATATAAAATATAACAAAGTTCTAGTATTCTAATGAGACTACAATCTGGTATATTTAAAAGATGACAAAAGAATTAATAACAAATATATTGACATTAATACTATTTCCTTTTTGTGTTTTTTAACCTGCTTAGATCATTAACCTTTGATAGCTAATAAAAAGGATCTCATTACAGGTATAGGTTATGTCTACACAGTAATCAGTGAGGCACTTAGATGATATTACAGATAATTTATCTGTATAATAATTACCAAAAATCATCAAATATTAAATAAGTACCTACCCTGAAATGGGCACTGTGATAATCAAAAAATCGATTCTGGAGATTTGCATTATGCAGTTTGCCTATCTACCTTAATTGAAATTAATTGCATTATAAAATTGACCTGCCTTAATTGAAATTAAATGATTAAAATTAAATAACCAAGCAAATATTTGTTAAGCTGCTGCTATGTTCCCAACACTGAGCTAGTTAGAGGTGATACAAGGAAATGAAAAGTTTTGTCATCAGATTGTTAACAATGTAATTAGGGAGAGGAGACCTATACAAATCAAAACACAAAGGAGAGTTCCAGGGAGCAAGAGTCATAAAAATTGAGAAACACAAGAGATTATAGAATAACTAGGTTCTTAATTAGACCTAAAACTGATAAACTTAAGTGGAGGGGAAAATAGCAAAAGAGATGTGGCAGCAAAAATCATGAGGTATACATGCTCAAGAAACATTCATGGCCAAAACCATATTTCTTCAGCATCTGTTTTATTAAAGATCTATAAACTTTTTTATTTTTCACAATAACTCTTTAAGGTGACTACTATTATTATTCCTGTCTTATAGATGAAGAGACTGTGACTCAGAGAAGCTGAATAACTTGACCAAAGCCTTTGAACTGATAAGTAGCAAAATCAGAATTCAAACCCAATACTTTATCATTCCAAATTGGGTGCTCTGAACCACTATGCCTGCAATAAATAAACCATCTGCCTTTAAAGAAAAGAGTGTATGGCATGAGATAAATTTGGGAGGTATAACAGCCAGGCAACAGATGGTACATTGAAATTGGGTTATTCGAGTTGAGTTTTGATACAGGGAACATTTACAAAGGTATGTGCAGAGTGTAGGAAAGCCACAAGAATATGGCAGTATTCCAGTGCTAGGAAAAACCACTTCCACCCCTCATCCTGAAGGATGGAGTGAGGTGTGGGAATTTCCAGACCCCAGAAGGAGAGAGCCTTGGGGAGTGGGGTGCCTGACAAGATGCATGACTTTTTGTAGAAAAGAGGAAGCTGGGTAAATAAATTCCCTGACCTGACCCTCTTCCTTTGTTTCTATTTCCCACTGGAGGTCTCATTGATGGAGTTTATGCAGATCAGTCACCCAGAGCCAAAGAGTAACTGAAAAAGAGTGGAGAATGGATCTAGAGAAGCAAATACAAGGTAGACATCACTAGGATGTTCTAGGAGGGTCTTGAGGCTAACTTATTTAGATTTTATTCTGTTGGGAATGGAGGACCAATAAATGTTTGGGTGGGCGAGAATTGTATATGGAAGAACTGCTTCAGGGAAACTAAATTTGTTATTAATGTAGATAGAATAAAAAGGCTGGCTGCAAAAACACTTTTGGAAAAAAATTAGAAAGCTCTGGTAGTGACTTTATGAGCCTAATAGTGAATAGTCTAGCAGAACAGAAAGAAAGAGGCTTAATGAACTGTCTATAATATTATAAAGAAATAAACTTGACTCCCAATCACACAGATAACATGATCCATTGATGAAATAATTTAGTTCTCCCTTCTCTCTCTTCTGCTTTCTATTTTGCACATTTGGGGATTTATTTTAATGGCTTCACAATCATGCCTTTCAGTCCATCATCAAATTCCTTATGCAACTATCTGGTAACATAAGCTGAGTAGTTAAGACAATAGCTCTCAGGATTGATGATCTCATTTTGGATATTAAGGGGGAAGAGGGAGAGAAACAGGAAGATAACATATACTGAAATCTTATGGCATGCTGTTTAATGCGCTCAGCGATTTTACATTTAAATTCCCCAGTACACCTGGGAGACAGGTATCACTTTTATTTAACAGACAAAAAAACCCTGTTCAAGTTCACTAAGTAAAAATAATCATTAGAAATAATAATAATGAGCTAAGTTAATGAAAGACATTATATGAATGTTAACGGAATCTGAGTATTTATCTTTGTTTTGTATTATTTTGAGACTTAGTAACCCTAATCAAAACATCCTCAGTATCACAATACATGGTTCTGTTTAAAATAAAATTAATTTTTCAAAATATATTAATTTTATTCTGAAAATAATCAATTAAGTAAGATGATTTTTAAAAAGAGGTCTAGGAGGCAAAATAACTTTCCTGAAAATGGAGAATGTCAAAGACAATATCAAACTGCATCTTACGTAAATGATTCTTCTTTCGGACTCACAATATATTATAATCTTTTGAGTTAACATTATATCAATATGTGAATTTTATGCATAATGAAATCTTTAAAAGACCCCAAACCAATGCTGTGTTGAATGCCTATAAAAGTGGCTTAGTCTCCAGATACACCCAAAAGAAAGAGGCTAATGGTAGAAGTTGAAGTAGGGAGAGAAAGTGAAAGGCACATTTCAGGACTATAGTTTTTATTAGTTTCCATCTTTGATTGATGCTACCAGTGAAGAGGTTGCTGGAATGGCAAATAAAAGAATAAGAAAATGAGTGGGCTCAAACCAAGAAGTCATGGCAAGAAGAAAGGCACTCAGTTCTAAGTTCAGGACATGCAGAAATAGTCAAAATAAAATGTTATTCTTAGTAATCCAACAGTAGCTATAAGGTGCCACCAAGACAGAAAAAATTCTAGCCTACACAATTAGAGAATAACATGGCTATGTGACAAACAGTCTGAAAGAGCTACTGTCAGGCAATAGCTCTCACTCAATACTATCTTAAAGAGCTACTGTCAGGCAATACTATCAGTCAATAGCTTTGCTTCTAAGAGAAGCACCAGAAGACAAAGGGAGATTTTCCAACACCGGAAAAAGTAAGACATTCTCCAGGTTTTTCAAATAACTTCAATCTCGGGCTTATGTTCTTGAAATTTCCCAGGTAACCTCTGTATGGTGAGTCTGTAGAGACAGACTTGTAGACACAGAACTACATGCCACAGGACTGAGCTAGCACTGGTACCAAAGCACTCAAAATGTCATCATGCTTCTTCACATCATGTATTAGGTTTATAGAGGATGGGTAATAAATGGAGTTTTTGTTCAATTTTGTCTCACAATAGGCCCAACAGGTCTAAGGACTCACTTTGTAATCATATACTAGTCCCCACATATCTAATTGGAATGAATACTCTATGTATCTGGCCCCAAAACCACTTTCTGTACTGGAGCCAAAAGAATAAATCAAAAACAAAACTGCATCTTGAGCATACTTTCAAAGATTAGAGCTACTATTAAAGCTTAGAGGATGTAGGAGTGATAGTCTCAATCAAATCATCTTATAGTTATTGTATTTTGTCCCTGAAAAAAAGTACTTTGAGTAGATAATGAACTAGCATAAATATAATCAACTAGTAGCCTCAGTCAACCAAGCAAAGCTACAATGCAGGATGTGGAATTTTTACGAAAACGTTTAATGCAGCACCTGGTGATCAGCATACAGCTATTAATTGAGCTAATGCTTACTTTCCTACCCATTGGTAGAGATAATCAATACCAGTTTGTTTTTTCAAGGCAAAAGCAGTACACATTCACTGTTTTGCCACAAACCTATATTAACTCTCATGTTTTCTATCATAACATAGTCTATAGGGATCTTGACTGACTTGATATTCCTCAAAACATCAGGTTGATCCATTATGTTAATGATATCAAGCTAATTGGATGTAGTGAGCAACAAATGTCAAGTAATTTATATGCCCTAGTGCTTACAAGCTAGAGGGTCTGAGATTAAACACTATGAAGATTCATGAGCCTGACTTATCAGTGAATTGTGTATTGATCCACTTGACTGGAGAATGCCAAAATACCCCTCATAAAGAAAAGCAGAAAATTATTCAAGCCATGCCTCCTACCATTGCAAAAGTGGCAAAGCATTTGGTGGACTTGAGTCCATTTTTGAGGTAGAATACACTGCACATGGGAATATTGCTTTGATCCACTTATTGCATGACCCACAAGTTTATCTCTTTTGAGTAGAGCAGAGAGTAAGAAAAGACTTTGCAACAAGACTAGCTATGGTGGAAGCTTCCCTATATCTTGGGCCAATGAGGTTTCAATGATGCTAGAAATATCTGTAATGGATAAGAATTGGTTCCTTATCAAGACCCAATAAGAGACTCCACGTACAAACTCCACGACTTCTACTTCTAGTCAAGATGGAGTAACAAGAACCAGAGTTACTCTGTTGCCAGAAAACAATTAAATACCAGACAGAGTAATTGAAGCAATGGTTTTCCAGACTACAGCAACAAGGGTAAAAGGTCAGTGATCTCAAGAGATGTGAGACAATTTATGAGAAAATTATAATTGTCCAGTTCACTACCTACAGATAATTTACAGACCACAGTGCAGGGCCAGAAAACCCAAGAAGAGATTCACAGAGACCACTGGATCTCTCTGAGTTGCGGGAATAAATATGAAATATAAGGAGGCAAAACTGGCTCAAAAATAACAGAGAATAAGACAAGAGAAAACTTAAAGGAGAGAGAGTTTGGAAGAGCTTTAGTGGTTAAATGCAAGTCTCCAGCTCGGTACTAATCAGTACACACTTGTGATTAATCTGCTTAAGGAAACAACCAACAAAAAGGATTAGAGGCTGAAAGCTATGAAACTTACACAGAGACAGCAATATTTCCCATTCTCAACAGCCAGAGTAGAAATCCTCATAATTCATCAAGCACTAGATAAAGCCACAAAAGGAAATTGCCTCAATTGTGGGGCAAAATTGCCCTAAAATAAATGCTGTCCTGGTTCCATCTAACAGCTTAAAAGCAAGATTCAAAATAATCCATCTATTTTAACTTTATTTTATTTTAATATTTAACCAGGTCAGGTAACAAAGGTCAACATTTGTTTTTTGTATAAGAATACAGAACTATCCATTTCTCAGCAGGGTACAGTTTACATTTTTTGCATCTAATAAATAATTTCCAGGCAATCAAAAAAATGGGAAAATAAGACCAATTATTAGAAGAAAAATCAGTCTATAAAAGCAGACCCTAAAATGACATACATGATTGAATTATTTGACAAAAACATTACACCCACCATTAATAACTGAATTCCATATATCTAAAAGCTAAATAAAATATTAAACCTGTTAAGTAGAGACATGGAATATGTACATGTATCTAAAAGCTACATAAAATATTAAACCTGTTAAGTAGAGACATGAAATATGTAAAAAGACCTAAATTGAACTTCTAGAGATGAAAACCACAATGCAGGTGAAAAATACAGCAGATAGAATCAACATCAAATGAAATCATGCAGAAGAAAATTAATAAAATTGAAGAATAGCAGTAGATAGGATAGGATCTGAAATGAAGCACAAAGTGTAAAAAATACTTTAAAAAATAATCAGATCATTTAGGAAAATATTAAGCAGCCTAACATATGGAATCCTCCAAAGAAGGATTGGAATCCTTCAAAATTGGAATCCTCCAAAGAAGAGAAGAATGAGAGAAGACAAAAATTAAAGAAATCATTGTCAAAACACTACAAATCTGATAAAAACCATAAATCATGAATACTAGAAACTGCAAGAAACCTCCAAGTATAAAAATAGGAAGAAAAGTACTCAATAGCACTTAATAATCAAATTGAGTAAAACTAATGAAAAATTAAAATCTTAAAGAAAGAGAAAAAACATGTACAGAAGAAGAAAGATAAGAATGATATCAGACTTCTAACAGGTAATAATTCAAATAAAAAGATACTGGAATAACATTTGGAAATACTAAAAGGAAAGGAAAATTGTCAGCCAAGAATTCTAAACACAGCTAAAATCTCTTTGAATAACAAAAGGGAAATAAAATACAAAACCTAAATGGAAATAGCATCAGCAGAACTACACTGTATTATAAGAAATGTTAAAGAAAGTAATCCTGTCAGAATGCTCTACAGAAAGGAATATGGAAGACCAGAAATGGTAACTCACTGAATAAACATAATTTTCCTTAAGAATTATTAAAACTGTTTAAAATATAGAGTTTAAACAAAAATTATAAAGATGTGATATGTCTGGAGTTTACAAAATGTAGAAGGAAAGACAGGAAACTAAAACAATATTTAGGAGATGAGAAATAAAAGCATATTGTTGTAAAACTCTTACACTATATGTAAAATAGTATATCATCACTAGAATCTAAGCTGTAACAAGGCAAAAATGTCCACTACAAACTGTAAGCAACAACTCGAATAAAAAGAATAAATTTTAGTTTTAATTGAATTTTGGCAATTCAGATACTAGTGATGCTGGGGAAAGGTGGTAAAAGAGATGAGTATCAGAGCAGTTAACATTAGTTGCCCAGCTCATTTTTCAAACCTGGAATATTAAGACAAGAACAAGAACTATTATCAACCCACAAACATCCTGGGAAAGCTGATTAGGCAATGAAGTTCATCTTAATTCGGCAATTAAAATCATGGAATTTGGAGAGAAGAGAAAGGAATCATGTGGATCTTGAATAAGCAGGTTAGAGGCTTTCAATACCCCTATGGCCTTGTAAGAAACAGTATGTCATATTTTTGCCCTAACAAAATTTTATTTTGTAGCTACCCATGCTGTCTAAGTGCCAATGATAAAGAATTAATTCACATATTTAAAAGATGTAGTTTTAAATTATAAGTCAACAAAGGAGATAATATAAAATAATTTAAATGCTCAATTAATTTAAAAAAGCAGAAAAAAGAAAAAGGGGAACAAGGGAGAGATGAAGCAAATAGCAAAATGTAGGCTTAAACCTAATCATATCAATAACATACCAAATGAAATAGTCCAAACGCACCACAATTAAAAGGTAGAAATTATGAGATTGTGACACAAAGCAATACTCATTATTTGCCTACAACAAATCCACTTTAAATATAAAGACATAAAAAAGTTAAAGATAAAAGGCTGCAAAAACAATACTATGCTAACATCAAAAGAAAGTTTGAATGCTATATTAATATTAGACAAAATATATTTCAAAGAAAATAATATTACCAGAGACCAAGAAGGCCATGTCATAAATATAAAAGGGTCAATTTATCAAGAAGACATAATATACCTAACCATTTATGCACCTGATAATATAGCTCCAATTTATGAAGCAAAACCTAACAGAAATACTTTTAGAAATAAACTTATAAATATAATTGGAGGCTTCAGCACCTCTCTTACCATAATTTATAGAGAGCGTATGTTCAAAATCAGTGAAGATATAGAAGGCTTGAGCAACATTTTCTATTTGACCTAATTAACATGAATAAAACAAAATAAGAACAGAAAATATATTTTTTTCAAGTACACAGAGGACATTTACCAACATAAAGCATATTGTCAAACATAAAATAAGTCTTAATAATTTTCAAAGATTCAGATCATATAAAGTATTTTCTCTGACCACAATAGAATTAAACTAGAAATCAGTAACAGAAATATGTCTGAGAAATCCCCAAATATTTAAAAACTAAATAACACTTTTCTAAGTTACACACAGGTAAAAGAAAATAAAGTATTTTGAATCCATTAAAAATAATAGCACAACATACCATGTTTTTTTAAAAGCCAATTCTACACAACTCTTCCAGAAAATTGAAAACATACTTTAGTAGCACTAAAGCAGTACTTTGAAGAAAATTTATAACAGAAATATCTACATTAGAAAAGAAACAAGTTTTTAAATCAATGAGCTTGACTTCTATGGTAAACAACTGGGAAAATAAGAGCAAATATGCCCAAAATATGCAGAAGAAAAGACACTTTAAAAACAGGAGAAGACATCAATGAAATAGAAAACAAAAACAATTGAGGAAAATCTATGAACCAAATGCTGGTTCTTTAAGAAGGCAAATAAAATTGATAAACTTCTAGCCAAACTTATCAGAAAAACAAGGGAGGAAAAATATTACCAGTGTTAGGATGAGGTACATGATATTTCTACAGATTATACAAATATTGAAGGAATAATAAGATAACAGTATAAACAACTTTGTGCCAATAAATGTGACAACTTAGATAAAATAGGAAAATTTTATGAAACACACAAATCTCCAAAACTCACTAAAACAGAAATTGATAACCTGAATTGTTTTATATCTCTTAAGGAAATTGAATTTGTAGCTAATTATCTTGAAAAAAATTCAGGTAAAAATGTTTTCATCAGTGAATTCAGCAAAACATTCGTAGAAAATAATACTAATTCTAAACATACTCTCCCAGAAAATTGAATAGGATGACTGCTTTCCATCTCATTCCCTGAGGCCAGCATTGCTATGAAAACCAGAAAAGATATTAAAAGAAAACTATAGACCAATATTTCACATAAACATAAATTCAAAAATCTTAACAAAATTATATAAATTGATTTCAACATTGTGTAAAAACATACCACAACACTAAAGGGTGGAGTTTATGCTTGGAATGCAAAGTTGGTTTAACATTCAATAATGGATGTAATTCACCATATTTACATATTGAATGTTAAAAGATCATATAATACAATCTTCTTGAATATGTTTGAAAATCATTTGACAAAAGCCAACATATAATTCTGATTTTAAAATTTTTTCAGCAAATTATGAATATAAAGGATCTGTCTCAACTGACAAAGAGCATCTATAAAAAATTCACAGTTGATATCTTTCTAATAGCAAAATATTTGCTCCTATACCACTAAGGTTAGGAACAATCACTTCTGTTCAACATTTGACAGGAGGTTGTAGTCAGTGTAACAAGGCAAGAAAAAGAAATAAATGGCACTAGGATTGTAAAAGAGGTAAAACTGTCTTTATTTTCATGTGATATAATCATCTAAATAGAAAGACCTATAAAATTGACAAAAAGTAGAATTAAAAAGGGAATTTAGCAATGTTGGCTAAATTGATACAATATTGTATCAATATATAAGATTAATATATTCTAAAAATGAACAGTCAGAAATTTTAATTACAAAAGCAATACCATTTATAATAGAATTGAAAGTAGGTAATACTTAAGCCTCAATCTGACAAAACATCTACACCCTGAAAACTACAAATTGTTGCTGAAAGAAACTTAAAAAGATATAAGTAAATGGAGATGTATGGTGTGTTCATGGATCAAAATACTAAATATAAAGTCACTATCACGTTATTTACAAATGTAAATTCAACAGAAGTCCAATAAAAGTCTCAGCAAATTTTTTGGTCAAAATTGACAAGCCAATCCTAAAATTCATATGGAAATGCAAAAGGCCTAAAATTGTCAAACAACTTTGAAAAGAGGTAATAAAATTGGATTTCTTACAACATCTGATTTTGAACAACTTAATAGACAGTAATAGTGACAATAATCAACATGATATGATATTGATATAAAGATAAATAGATCAACAGAATAGAATAGAACAGAGTTTAGAAATAGCCCTGCATATACATAGTCAATTCATTTTTGACAAGGGTACAAAGGAAATTCATCAGAGAAAGAGAGCTTTATATGGTGTTGGAGTAATTAAATAACTACATAAAGTGCAAGCTCTACCCCAGTTTCTGAAGCACGGTGATGCTCTCCTTACTGGAGAACAACTCTGGAGCACATATGGGCCTTAGTAGAGACTTAGCACCTGACCATGATGCATGAAGTGACTGTTATCTGAGGTGCCTATTAAAACAGTTCTATTGAGTCATAATGTCAGGGGTTGAACAAGCAATCTATTTTATTACGGATAGAGTACATTCATACCCAGCCTTGAACAGGTCTCTGAATTTAAGGAATCCAACATTTTTATAAAAGGAATTAAGCATGTCTTTTGTTTGTTCTGAAGATAGACGCTCTCTCTCCCTTCCAAGGCTGTTTGCTATACAAATGTGATGTCCAATAACAAAAAAGATGTCCAGAACATATTAATACAGTGCCTCTGTTTACAAGATGGACAGACCCATGGAGAATTATCTCTCAACACCCAGCTATGGGGGTGGAGAAATTCTGAAGAAGTCACAGATGATTTTTTAAAAAATTATTTATAAATGAAGCTAGCTTACAACTGTGCCTGTCAAATATGTTTTTTTTTTTTTTTATTTTCCTTAACCCCGCTAACTCCTCCACCAAAAATGCCAAAACCATAAGAAATCAGTAGCAGAAGCTAGAGAGAGATTGATTGAGGACATTCATAAGAAAGAGAGAGAATAAGCTGACGTGATTCCTCCAGGTTTTTCTAGGCTTATTCCACAGCAGCCTTAGCTGGAGCCAGGCATCGTGACATCTAATCTCTGAATGAATATTGATATATTGACTATTACATGAAATTGGGTATTTTGAATCCAGACTGATCTTTTTACTTTAAATAAAACCAAAATTCATGGAATTTCCTACATTTCCATACAGTGAATAAACTAACCACATTGAGCAAATTAAAAGGCTATGAGAGGAAAAAAAAGTTTGCTTCACACTTAGATGTTACTAGCAAGCTTAATAGATATATAACTTGTATAGAAAAATGTTTGTTAAAGGAATTACTCTAGGGAATTGAAATTTTACTATTTCACCTTATAAGTTTCAGCAATGTTTGATTTTTTAAAATAACTTATACCATTTTGCTAATTTGAAAAATAAATTATTGTAAATTGAGTATAGATTCAGGAGTTAAGTAACATCATTTAAAAAATCACTTTCATTCTTTAAGCATCACTTTCTTATATTAAAAAGCACTTAAATAGAGCCAGGGACACACTTGCTCAGCCATACTCAAGAAGCTAAGATATATCCAGCACACCTATCAGTTGCCAACAAACAGAGCCTGAGACTATGAGAGCAAAATTAACTTCATTATGATAGCACTTTGGAGAAACATTACATTCTGGGCAAAAGGTAACTAAGGACCAGAACTCCTTTATCAATTGGAGAACAGTGATGCAGAATGCAGAGAATTTAGAATCACCACATGGGAAATAGAGAAGGCAAACTAAGTCAGTGGAACAAGATTTCATTCTGTTTCCAGCAGTCAGAATTAACTTCTCTCTGAGAAAAAGTATAGGTTCTTAAATAAATGTCTACAGGAATCCATTTGTCCTGTAGGCTGCTTTAAATATAATACTAGTTGTCAATACTACATAATATTATTCAATGTGATATCCTGAATTAAACTGAAAATTAATGCAGTAGCACATACTTTTGGGTATACAGATTCAATCAGAAGTAGTTTATTTAAAATATTAGTAAAAAAATTATCTCTAGAAACCAGCTTTAGAAGGATGCAACTGGACATTTTTTCCCCATTTTCAAAGAAATTCATAAGAATTATCTTGGCTATTCATACTAAATGTCATAATCTCTAGATGATTTCATATACACTTTTACTGAAAGTCTGGCAAAATGTTTTCTTTGCAAATGAGACACATCTATTAAATGTCTAATCTAAATATGAGTGTTTCACAAATGCTAGAACTTCTGAAATCTTGAATGAAATCAATGCTAACTGGGCTCACCCAATCAGGTTTTAACAAGTATACTTTTAATAAAGATAATCTGCTCATTTCCTTACATGATAATGAAGGAGCTGGATAAGACTGATGATATTTACAAGCTTTTCCATCACCATATTGCCCAGAAACAGAGAGATTTTTTTAAGGAGTTCCTGTTTGGGGTAATTTAAAATTAAGTTGGATATTTGAGCACATAAAAGAATAATCAATGACCTGAAAACTTTGATAAAATATATGTAAAGAGAAAAGCAAGAACATATCATCGACCTTTTATCAAAGATTAGAATATGTATATTTGGTGGGAATGGTAAGTTGGTGAGAGTCACTTGTTAGAAAAGCTGAAATTAAATTTCTTATTACAAGAATTCCCAGTATTTATATCTCTTGTCATGAGAAGATTGGAAGCTGGTCTCCTAGGAGGTAACTTGTTTTCTGGATCTAGAGATGGAAGTATTCTCTGAATGCAGCATATCTGGTGTACTGAAGTTAAAACAAGGTGCTGATCCAAAATCATGCCAGAGAGACAAGATTCAAAAAAGACAGGAAAGGAGTCAAGAAGGGTCCCCAGATCAGAGGAACCCAAAGGCAGATATGAAAGCTCAGGCACAGTGATAAGCATCTGAGCCAAAGCTTCTGAGAGCAAAGGAACAAATGCTGTCTGCTGCGAGTTCTGAACAATTGTTAGACTTATTCCATGGAGTTCACTCTGAAAAATCTGTTGCGATGAAGTATGGTGCTTTCTTTACAACAGGCGTGGGTGTGGCAGGTGGCTTCAAGAGGAGTTACACATATTTACCAAATGCTTAAAGAGAATTCTTGGTCTATTTGTCCAGGAATCAGAGAAAAGAAGGAGCTCTCCAGTGGCTTTCACAGCCTGGCACAGACTAAATTTGAAAGAGCACATAACTAAACATTAACAGAGTTCTCTGCGGAACACAAAAATAACATTTCATATAAGATATGGGTAGGATCTGATAAGGTATTTTAATTAACATCACTTTTTAGGCCACATTTTCATTCTTTGTATTCTGAAGATAAATGGACATTCATTTCTAACATGCACTGATTATATGCAAATACAAGTGAGTCATGGCCCATTGCTAAAAAGTATAATTTCTAGAAGCAATGCATGCTAATTACAGTACTTATTGAAAATCACCATTTTGATAACTATAATTTTGCCACCACCTTTCCAAATCCTAAATTGAAAAGTATCTTGCAGCATATGTATTTTAAGTAAAGTGCTCTATATTGCAGCTGTTTAAAAGGTCCAAGGCTGAGTCCTCTTTTATGAACAATTTTGATTGTTCAGGCAAATAAATTAAATCATAATGAAGAACATCATATGACATTTTCAAAATATTCTGTTTAATGACGCTACTTCTCAATAATTGTTTTATTTTTAAGATTAATACCTCCCCATGGTGTATACAATAATTTTAACAACAAACCTCTATGATACCCAACTTATATTTATTGAGGGAAAACTGCATACCAGATATTGTACTAACCAGTTTACCATGCATTCCATCCATTTTTACATCTATCTATCAAACTACCAATCTATCAGACCAAACTGTGTAATTCTGTTCTTAATTCTATTCTATTCCACTAACATATTATAAGCAATTTGGAAATAATCAAAAATGTAAATGACAGAAAGTAATCTATTTCTACTTAAGTTAATAAACACACTATATAATTCATTTTAAGATGAATTCTAGATGGCAGACTAGAAGCAGCTCATGTGTGCTGCTCTCACAGAGAGGAAACAAAAGGGCTAGTGAACACAGATCCTACAGGCCAGTCATCTGAGAAACCACATTGGGATCCATCAGGCAGCAGGGTGACACAGAGAGCAAGGGAGGAGCAAAGCTGGGTACCAACCCATCTAGACTCAGCGTGGCGCCAGGAGAACCTCTCCAACATGGGAAATGTGAATGAGGGAGAGCCCTCTGGGGGATTCACATTCTCCAAAGAGAACTGTGAAAGACTAGGAATGGGAGAATGCGCCTGGCCCCCTACACTCCCCACTGCAATATTAGACAGGCACAGCACCATGTGGATGCTTTGCAAGGGCAACTCTCAAGTCCAAGGGAACCACTACAAGCCTTGGGCCTTGGAGCTGACCAGCATGGGCACCATAGGCCCAGCAGAGTCCACAGTCATGGTGCCTGGGAGCAATAAGATTGCTCCACCCCCAATCACCAGACAAAGTTCAGTGCCAGCTTCTGGCCCAGCAGTCCCACTTTTCTCTGAACTCAGCTGGTAGCCACAGCATCCTGTTGCCCCAGGCAAAAAACAGACAGCATGGCAAGCAACCCCAGCCACCCCCATCACTGGTAGCCAAGTGGGAAATACCTGCTGAAGGCTCCAGCCCAGAAATCCCACTTCTGTGTGAAGCCAGCAAGAGGGTGCAGCCTCCTATTGTCCAGGGAAATGCATGGATGGCAGGGTGAACAACTACACCTACCTCCACTTTCTCATAGCCAGGCAAGCCATACCTGCTAGAGCTTCCAGTCCAGCAGATGTACATCTGCCTGAACTTTGCAGGCAGGCACAACCCATGTTCCCCCAGGAAGCACTTGGACAGCAGATTATGTGCCGTGATAACTGGCTAGCCACATGCAGAAGATTGAAGCTGGAGTCCATCCTTATACCATATGCAAACATTAACTCAAGACAGATTAAAGACTTACATGTAAAACCTAAAAATATAAAAACACTGGAAGATAAACTAGGAGATAACATGCTGGACATAGGACCTGGAAAAGATTTCAAGATGAAGATGCCAAAAGCAATTATAAGAAGAAAAGTTGACTAATGGGAACTAATTAAACTAAAGAGCTTCTGCACAGCCAAAGAAACTATCAATAAAGTAAATATACAACCCACAGAATGGGAGAAAATATCTGCAAACTATGCATCTGACAAAAGTCAAATATCCAGAATCTATAAGGAAAGTAAACAAATTGACAAGCAAAAAATGAATAACCCCATTGCAATGTAGGCAACGAATATGAACAGACGCTTTCCAAAAGAAGACATACAGGTAGCCAACAAGCATATGAAAAAATGCTCAACATCACTAATCATTAGACAAATGCAAATCAAAACCTCAATGAGATACCACCTAACAACAGTCAAAATGGCTATTACTAAAAAAATCAAAAAATAGTTGCTGGTGAGGTTGTGGAGAAACGGGGCTGCTCATACACTGTTGGTGGGAGTGTAAATTAGTTCAACCATTGTGGAAGCAGTGTGATGATGCCTCAAAGAGCTAGAAACAGAACTACCATGAGACTCAGCAATCCCATTACTGGGTATATACCCAAAGGAATATAAATCATTCTATCATAAAGACACATGCATGTGTACGTTTATTGCAGCACTATTCACAATAGCAAAGACATGGAATTAACCTAAATGCCCATCGATGACAGATTAAAGAAAATGTGGTACATACACACCATGGAATACTATGCAGCCATAACAAAGAGCTAGATCATGTCCTTTGCAGGTACATGGATGGAGCTGGAGGTCATTATCCCTAGCCAACTAATGCAGGAACAGAGAACCAACTACCACATGTTCTCACTTATAAGTGGGAGCTAAACATTGAGTACCTTTGGACACAAAGTATAAAACGAGAGACATGGGGGCCTACTTGAAAGTGGAGGGTGGGAAGAGGCAGAGGACTGAAGAACTATCTGTCAGATACTATGTTTCTTACCTAGGTGATGAAATAATCTGTACACTGAAACCATGTGATGCACAATTTACCTATAAAATAAACCTGCACATGTACCCCTGAACCTAAAAGTTTAAAAAATTTTTTATAGACATATAGGACATATGAATGTAAATTTAAAAATTTTAAATCTTAGAAATCATTGTCTCAGCACAGTGAAGCATTATATCATGATCTCATAATCTAGTGCCCTTTATGCCAGATATGCACATGAAATTTAGCATTTGGAAAGCCAGTAATACAATTAATCACATTAATGGAATCAATGAGAATGTCATGTGTGCATGTTCATAGTTTTTAAAAAGTACATTACCAAGATTCTATCAAAAGTTATCTTTAAAAATGTAAATATTAGGAAATTAATGTAAGGTATTTATGAAAAATATAAGAAATAGATTTGTACAAATAAAAAAAGCTGACAAGAGATGTTTGGAAACGAAGATCCAACAGTATGAGGAGGTCAATGATTCTCTATTGGGTTTATAAGTTGAATTTGATTCCAGTCTAGATACATCCACTTGTGATCAGAAGCACAAGCTTTACTGAAAATAATAATAAATGAATTTAAAAATTATGAGAAGTTGGAACAGGAAAAAAAGAGTTCATAGCTGGTTTTCACTTTTAGAAATTCATAAATAAGTATTTCACTCATGTGAATCCTTATTTGTATTTATTATAGCAAAACAAATGTGTTTGATTTCTTCTCATTATATTCTTTATGTATAATTATATTTCTATTGCTATTTTGAAAAAGAACACATTTGGACAGGCAAAGCTAAAATAATTTGAAATGTTCAAATAAGCAGTCTGGTGATCACATGATAATTAACTATACCACAAAATCAATTTCAAAAATAGAAGTTTACAAAACACTTGAGAGTAGCCAAAATTTTCTACAAAATACTTATAACTATTTTCACCAAATAGAATATAAAATAATCTTGGGAAAATTGAGTTACTTCGCATTCTTACATTTAACTAAGGACTCATTCTAACACCAAATGGGAAAACTATTTTCACTATACAGGAAAACTAAAAAATTGGGGAAAAATAGTTATTTGTTGAACTGGGTGTGCACATTTGCTATTACTCCAAAAGAAACAACTTCAAGACTCAATGATTTAAAACAATGAGCATTTATTATTGCTCATAAGTCTATGGGTCAGTGAGGTGGTTCTACTGAACTAAGCCAGTCTCAACTGATCCTGGTTGAGCTTGTTCATCATGCATCCGCAAGCAGCTGGTGAGTTGGCTGGAAAACTGGCTGGTCTAGAAAGGCCTCAATCACACTGTGGCCATAGGCTGCACAACAGCACTGTCAGGAGGTGTCTTTTAGAAGCCAGAAGGATGGTTTTGGCTTTTTCACAAGATATGGATAGAGATAAAAGAAAAAAAAAAAGATGCTATAGACCAGGCCTCAGAACTAACACTACATAACTTACAATGTCTTTTGGCCAAAACAAGTCACAGGGCCAGCTCAGATTCAAAGACTCCATCTCTAGATGAGCGGAGCTATAAGGCCACATTATAGAGAGTGTGGATTCGGTAAAGCAGGTAGTATTGTTGCCATGTTTGTAATGCATTTATTACATGGGCGAAGGAAGGGAAAATAACTTTATTCTGATGGTTTTCCCAACTGTAATATTAACATAGATCATATTGGCATGTATATCCTGGTCTGTTATTTTGAGAACTGCCTTCCTCATCTATAAAGATATCTACCAACAGCAAGGACCTTTTTTCTTTTATTAAGGGAACATGGCCCTCCAGCCAGAAATAATAGAACAGGGTGGGCATATAATGTGAAATGGGCCAATCAAATCATCACCCAATAATTTGAATTGGGTGATTTAGAGATAAGTCTTTGAGATTAATGGCTAAGCCACAGAATGAAGGAACATTAAATCCTCCGCTAAGATTCGTGGAGTAGAGCTGATCTGAACTCCATCTCCCATAAGATCTGAACATTAATATTTCCTTAGATTTGGTGACATTCCAGACTATTCCAATCAATTCCCTGTCTTGCATAAACTTGCTCACATTGATTTATGTTACCCAGAACCAAAGTAACTTTTTAAAAAACACATGTTGTTAAATAAGCTACTTTAACATTTTCTTCACTTATAGATTTTCTAATACAAAGAATTTCCACAGATATTAACAAAGAAGCAAAGACAAAAGAATACCTAGTTTTAACATCTATTCTTAATATCTCCTAGGGACAATATTTTTGTCACCCTGGACACCATAATAGAATTCACTCACATCATTACGTTATTAAATAATTAAAAAGACAGTATTCCTAGAGTTTAAGCAATAAAATCAGATGATGTTACAATTGCATGAAACCTTAGTAAATACAGACAGAAAAATCTAAGTGACTTGCCCAAATTAGTGGAAGTACTGCCTTTTAGTCCACTGATAGGGCTACTATTTTCATACAATGAAGTTGTTTTTATAAGCCACTGAAGGATTTGGCCATTATAAATAAACTGTGCTGTAACAACCCTTCTACAGTTGCATTATATATAAAACAAAAATAATACACCTAAACTATAGGATTGTTTTGAGAATTATAAAAATAATTAACACAAGTAAAGCTCATAGAACAGCATTGGCTTATATAATAAGTGCTTAACACATACAAGTAGTAAACATTTTCATCTGTTTTTTAAATGCGGGTTTTTTAGTTTGTTTGTTTTGGATTTTGTTTTAGAGACAGGGTCTTGCTCTGTTGTCCAGGCTGGTCTGGAATTCTTGGCCTCACAGGATGCTCTTGCCTCAGCCTCCCAGCATGTTGGGACTACAGGTGTGAGCCACCCCACCTGTACAGCATGTTACTGTATAAATATTGTAGGGCATTGTAACAAATGGTAAGTACTGGTGTATCTAAACATATCTGAACATAGAAAAGTACAGCAGAAATACATTATAATCTTATGAGGCCACCATCGTGTATGCAATCCATCATTGACCAAAGTATTATTATGTGGTGCATGACTATACCTGCTTTTATATGGACTAAAAGAACAAATGGAGAATCTCCTGGCAAAGTCTCATAAAACATAATGATAAAGTTGACTTTTGGTTCCTTTCAGGTCTGACATTCCCAGTTCTCTAATTCAGCTCTGATTAAAATGAAGTATTGAAAGACAACAAAACCACACAGAAAAATCCCTGCTTGCTCACTACAATAGCAAATGTGTTCACTAGGTAGGCTAATTGAGATGTTAGGGCAATATATAGTGTTCTAGACAACAAATTCCAATCTTGTCAAATTGAAATGTGCCTTTAGTTACCACATAAATATTTTCAGCCTTCTGAAATATACTTTATATATAGTAATAATTTATCAAGTATTAACATTTCACGAGACTTCCAATAGCATATAAAAATGATATATCAAAGAAATCTTCTTCAAGTTTATAGAACTCCTGATACTTTTTAGCAATATTTAATGCCAATTATTGTAACACTAGAAAGTAATTTCATAAGTTGTATGCAGTAAAACACAATTAGAGACATAGATAACATTTTCAAAAGTTAAATTATATATTAATCTGTGAAATACAGAATATTATTAAAATGAATAATGTGAAATTAAGCTTCTATAGCTAATAAATTCATTTATGACCCCTTAACATTCTCTTAAATGAATGAAATAAAAATTTAAAAAACAACATTTCCTCCTGCTGCTGTCATGTGTGCCCAAGCATGGTCCCCACTGCCACCACTCTGATAAAGTACTTTTTCCAGCACCCCCATCAGAGTGTTGACAGTGGACCAGTTACATCTTGGCCCCTCTAGCAAAGCAGCGGCTTAACCTCGAGGGCCAGAGAACAAAGCGCTGGGCCTGGTCCCAGCCCCCCAGCATTACAGCAGGCAACTCAGGAGCAACAAGCTGAGCCTTGGTCCACTGAAATTATCAAAACTAAACTAGTTGACTGAACCGACAGTCAGATCCTCAAGGGCATTAAAGAATATAAAAGCAATAAAACCCCATCCAAAGGAAAGCAACTTCAAAGATTAAAGGAGTATCAGCCCCCACAGACGAGAAAGAACCGATATCAGAACTCTGGCAACTCAAAATGTCTTATTGCCAAAAACTGCACTAGCTCCTTAGCAATGGTTCTTAACTAGACTAAAATGGCTGGAATAACATGCATAGAATTCAGAATCCGGATGGCAAAGAAGATCATAGACATTCAGGAGAAAGTTGAAACCCACTTCAAGAAATCTAACAAATTAACTAAAGTGATACAAGAGCTGAAAGATGAAATAGACATATTAAGAAAGAGCCAAACTGATCTGATCAAGCTGAAAAACTCACTACAAGAATTTCATAACACAATTGGAAGTATTAACAGTGTAATAAACCAAATGGAGAAAAGAACCTCAGAGCTTGAAGACTGGATATCTGAACTAAGTCAGAGAAAAATCAAGAAAAAAGAATGAACAAAACTTCCAAAAAATATGGGATTATGTAGAGATCAAATCTACAACTCATTGGAATCCATACATGAGAGGGAGAGAGAGAGCAAGTAACTTTGAAAACAAATTTGAGAATATTGTCCATGAAACATTCCACAACTTCACTAGAGAGGTTGACAGTCAAATTAAGGAAATTCAGAGATACCCTGTGAGACACTATCCAAGAAAACGAAATCCAAGACACACAGTCATAAGATTCTCCAAAGTCAATGCTAAAGAAAAAATATTAAGGACAACTAGCGAGAAGGGGCAGGTTACCTACAAAGAGAACCACATCAGGCTAACAGTGAACATTTCAGCAGAAAGCCTAGAAGCCAGAAGAGATTGGGGCTTATATTTAGCATCTTTAAAGAAAAGAACTTCCAACCAAGAATTATCCAGCCAAACTTAGCTTCATAAGTAAAGCAGAAATAAAATCATTTTCAGACAAGCAAATGCTAAGGGAATTTGTTACCACCAGACCTGCCTTACAAGGGGTCCTTAAGGGAGTGCTAAACATGGAAATGAAAGAACATTAGCAGCACCACAAAAACACGCTTACGTACATAAACTATTGACACTTTAAAGCAACTACACCATGAAGTCTACATAACAACCAGCTAATAATACAATGACAGAGGATCATTCCACACATATCAATATTAAACTTGCATGTAAATGGACTAAACACCCCACTTAAAAGGTATAGAGTGGCAAGTTGGATAAAGAAGCAAGACCCAACTCCATGCTATCTTCAAAAGACCCATCTCATATGCAATAACACCCATAGCTTCAAAGTAAAGAGATGGAGAAAAACCTATCAAAAGGAAAACAAAAAAGAACAGGGATTCCTATTTTTATTTCAGACAAAAGAGACTTTTAAGCAACAATAATCAAAAAGGATAAAGAAGGACATTACATAACAATAAAGGGTTCAATTCAACAAGACTTAACTATCCTAAATATATATGCATCCAACACTGAAGCACATAAAACAAATTCTTACATAATCACACAGTAATAGTGGGAGACTTTAACACCCCACTGACAGTATTAGATCATTGAGACAGAAAACTAACAAAGGTATTCAGGAATTAAATTTGACACTTGACCAAATGAACCTAACAAACATCTACCAAAAACCCCACCCAAAAACAACAGAATATACCTTCTTCTCGTGTGCACATGGCACATACTTTAAAATCGACCACACCCTCAGCCATAAAGCAATTCTCAACAAATTTTAAAAAAATGAAATCATACCAACCATACTCTCAGACCAAAGCACAGTAAAAATAGAAATGAATACTAAGAAGATCTCTCAAAACCATACAATTACATGCAAATTAAACAACCTGCTCCTGAAAGACTTTTGGGTAAAAAATAAAATTAAGACAGAAATCAAGGAATTCTTTGAAACTAATGAGAACAAAGATGCAGCATTCCAGAATCTCTGAGACACAGCTGAAGCAGTGTTAAGAGGAAAGTTACAGCAGTAAATGCCCACATCAAAAAGTTAGGAAGATCTCAAATTAACAACCTAACATCACACCTATAGGTACAAGAAAAACAAAAGCAAACCAACCCCAAAGCTAACAGAAGAAAAGAAATAACCAAAATCAGAACTGAGCTCACAAGATGAAGAAAAGAAACACTGTACAAAATATCAATGAAGAACTAAGATTGAAAGACCACTAAATAAACTAGCAAATAAAAATGAGAGAAGATTCAAATCAACACAATCAGAAATGACAAAGGGGACCTTACCACCAGTCCCATTGAAATACAAAAAACCCTCAAAGAATATTATGAACATCTCTACACACATGAACTAAAAAACCTGGAAGAAATGGATAATTTCCTGAAAACTACAACCTCCCAAGATTGAACCAGGAAGAAATTGAATTCCTGAACAGACCAATAATGAGTTCTGAAATTTGATCAGTAATAAAAAAAAAAAACCCTACCAACCAGAAAAAGCCCTGGACCAGATGGAGTCACAGCCACATTATACCATATGTATTAAGAAGAGCTGGTACCAGTCCTAATGAAACTATTCCAAAAGATCAAGGAGGAGGGACCCCTCGATAACTCATTCTAAGAGGTCAGCATCATCTAGATACCAAAATCTGGCAGAGACACAATGAAAAAAAAAAACGCTTCAGGCCAATATTCCTGATGAACACAGATGTGAAAATGCTCAAAATATTAGTAAACCAAATCCGCCAGCACATCAAAAAGCTAATCTTCCGTGATCAAGTAGGCTTTATCTCTGGGATGCAATATTGGTTCAGTATAAGCAAATCAATGAATGTGATTCATCACATAAACAAAACTAAAAGCATGATCATTATAACAGACACAGAAAAGCCTTTTGATAAAATTCAACATCCCTTCATTTTAAAAACCCTCAACAAACTAGCATCAAAGGAACATACCTCAAAATAAAAAGAACCATCTATGACAAACCCACAGCCAACATCATACTGAATAACCAAAAGCTGAAACATTCCTCTTGAGAACCAGAACCAGACAAGGATGACCACTCTTCATTACTCCTGTTCAACTTAGTTTCGGAAGTTCTAGCCAGAGCAATCAGGCAAGAGAAAGAAATAAAAGGCATCCAAATATGAAGAGAGAAAGTCAAACTATCTCTCTTCATGAATGATATTTTTCCCTACATAGCAAACCCCACAGTCTCTGCCCAAAGGCCTCTAGATTTGATAAACAACTTCAGCAAAGCTTTGGGATACAAAATCAATGTTCAGTACACAATTTCATTCGCAACAGCCACAAAAAGAATAAAATACCTAGGAACACAAGCTAAACAGATTTGTAAAAGATGTCTATGGTAAGAATTACAAAACACTGCTAAAAGAAATCAGAGATGCCACAAACAAATAAAAAAATTCCATGCTCATGGATAGGAAAAATCAACATTGTTTAAATGGCCATTCTGTCCAAAGCAATTTACAGACTCAATACTATTCCTATCAAATAACAATTACATTTTTCACAGAATAAGAAAAAATTATTCTAAAATTCATATGGAATCTTAAAGGAGCCCAAATAGCCACAGCAATCATAAGCAAAAAGAACAAAGCTTGAGAAATCACACTACTGGACTTCAAACTGTACTATGAGACTACAATAACAAAAACAGATATATAGACTAAGGAAACAGGTTAGAGAACCCAGAAATAAAGCCACACATCTACAATCATCTGATCTTTAACAAAGCTGACAATAACAAGCAATAGGGAAAGGACTCCCTATTTAATAAATAGTGCTAGGATAACTGGCTAGACACATGCAGAAAAATAAAGCTGGACCCTTTCCTTATACCATATACAAAAATCACTTCAAGATGGAGTAAATACTTAAATGTAAAACATAAAACTATAAAAGTCCTAGAAGAAAACCTAGGAAATACCATTATGAACATAGGCCATGGCAGAGGTTTCTTGAAAAAAATGCCAAAAAGTAATTACAACAAACCAAAAATTGACAAATGGCACCTAAGCTAAAGAGCTTCTGCACAGTAAAAGAAATTACCGAAAGAGTAAACAGACAACCTACAAAATGGGAGAAAATATTTGCAAACTCTGCATCTGACAAAGGTCTAATATTCAGAATCTATAAGGAACATAAACAAATTAACACACAAAAACAAACAACCCCATTAAAAAATGCACCAAGGACATGAACAGACACTTCTCAAAAGAAGATATACATGTACATGTGGCCAACAAGCATATGAAAATATGCTCAATATCACTAATCACTAGGGAAATGCAAATCAAAACCACAGTGAGATATGATGTCACACCAGACAGAATGGCTATTATTAAAAAGTCCAAATATAACTGATGATGGTAAGATTGCAGAGTAAAGGGAACACTTATTGTGGTTTTTGCCATTACTTTTAATGCCAAAAGCCGCAATTACTTTTGCACCAACCTAATACTATTGGGTACTATGCTCATTACCTGTGTAATAAAATAATTTGTACACCAAACTGCTAAAGCATGCAATTTACCCATGTAACAAACTTGCACGTGTACCTCCTGAACCTAAAATATAAGAAAAATAATAATTATAATATCAAAGAAAAGTGAAATAGATATTTTCTGTTATTTTAAATCAGCCCTACATATGCATTTGACTAAGCAATAAGCTCAATTTCTATACTATTTTCTGTGGAACCTATTGTTAAGGCAAAGTCGAAAATAGGGAGTGTGGAAATAAGATATCCAAAATTGTTTCAGTGTTGAATGGTTTCAGGCACAGAACAAATTTTGATTCATTTTTTAAGATTAAAGCTGTCTTGCTTAATAATGAAATAAGCCCTTGTTCCACATTGATAAGCAATGCATTTTTAAAAAGAGAGAAATTACAATAAATTTTTTTAAATCTTATTATTCACTGAGTTTTCCTTCAAGTTTTAAAAACTTTTTTCAACTTCAATGCATGGATTTGTTGAATATTTCAAAATAAAGCAATATTTACATTCAAAAATAGTTTAAGTAATGAATAAATTTTATATTAAGTTTTTAATGCAATAATTACAAAAATGCTACAAAGAGCATTACACTAAAAAATCCTTATTATATTGATTTAAAATAATTTTGGAAGGCTGATATTTGTGTACCTTTTGTAACTCTCCCACATCTTCATGTAAAACATTTATACCCTTAAACGTCATAGATAAAAATACACGTAAGTTCATGATATGCAATGTTAGTTTTAATATTCTGATATTAGATTAGTTTCATATCAGGTTGATTTTCTTTTCAAACATTTCTAATTAGTGACTACATATTATGATAAATACAGCACTCAGTAGGAATAAATAAAATGTAGCAGAGATCTTACTGAAACCAAAAACCATTCTTACAAACACATTTACTTTCAAAATTACTTGGAAGCTGGCTTGTTATCTCAGTCAGCATGTAGCCCTTGACTCTTTTATCATCATAACCATGCATGATATATTCTCCAAAATGGCTAAATTCAGACTATTCCATAATCTAATAAAAACTTGTAATACCTGGGAATTCAAAACTCTTGGACAAAACATATTTGCCTCTATGTGTAAAGTCAAGGTAAAGAGGACAGGGAAAAAAGGGTTATCCAAGGTAAGTACTTCCCCCTGGGATTTTAAGTGAGCCAAATGAGAAAATGTAAATTCAAGGTAGAGAGAAAAACCTCACTTATATTACTATTCCACTCAACTTTTTAATAAAATGTTCATCAGCACAACTTCCTTTGGCATTTTGAAGAATAGGTCTATTATCAGCAACATGTAAATATTTTCTCCTCCCAGTGAATATTTTGGAAAGCTCAGTCATTATACTAAAAGAAAAATACATTCTGATAATCAGAGAAAAACTGCTTTTTCAATGACACATTGTTTAAAGCAAAACTAAAGTGTTTGTACAATATTTCTTAAATCTGACCAATATTAGGAAATTTGAATAAGCAAATATAAAGTACATCTTCTGATTTTAAATGATATTTTATGGCTAGAAGAAGAAAGTTTCAGATAAAATAACAATACTTTATCCATGAAAAGTACAATTTAGCCAAAGTCTAAGTACAAGCTTTTTAAAATTTTAAATTTTGAAGTATAAATGTGTGTTATTTACATTAAGTTAATAATGTATTTTTTGATGATGCCCCAATTCCAAAATACGTAAAATTATTTACTTTGTAATCTGTCCAGAGATCTTACAAATTACTATGTAACTCAGTTTTCAGTGTCTTTTAAAACTACAATAAAAAATTACATTTTTAATTAAGCACCAATCAATCAGAAAAAAAAGTTGGGTGTTTTTAAAAGTCAATTCATCAAAATGAAATACTGGTGTTAGACTGTTTCCAAAATTTAATTTTTTTGTCTCAAATGGCTTTCTTTTCTAAGCAATTCTCTTTCACTACCTCTTAGAAATCATTCAGTGACTAACAGGGCAGTGTTGTAGTAATTACATACTGTAATTATTTCTAAAATTTCTATAGGGCATTGTCTTAACCATTTTACTAAAGAACTGCAGGAATAGTAAATAATAGTTTTCTGAATACAATAAGTTACATATATTTACTATTAACTTCCTTAAGCTTATCTAATACTGGATTGAAAGCTGGTATTGAGTTACACCAGAATTTCCAGCTTCTAGAATTTTCCTGCTAATAAAAATGCTAGATAAGCTTTTACTATTCAAAGTAAAGAACAATGTTTCTTGCCTATATGTAAAGGAAAATATATAAAATACGGGTTTTTTTTGCTTTTTCATTTTTTCAGTGTTGGAAAACCTAATATAGATAGGGCACTATGCCAAGGCGGGAAATTGATTCTGACTTTAAGATAAAAAAAAAAGCTAAGAAAATTAAGTATGGTTGAGACAAAATATAAAGCAATATAAGAAATATAGCACAGAAGAGACATGACTCCATTCTCTAAAAGTTTAGAGAAGAATAAAAACGGTTTCTGGCTATGGTTCGATGGAGGGCAAATCAAGGTACATATATAGCAGAAATCAACTGCATATGGCTTTAGCTGATGAGAAGAATTTGGTCATTTAGTTTAACCAAATGTTGGAAAAAAACACAAAAAGTTTATGGGATACATTTATGTTATTAATAAGTGTTAATGGCCTTTCTTGTGCTTAGAAAATCATGACTTAAAATGCACATTTTCAGTTTGCTCCATTAGGACAAAAAAAAGGTCTTTTCATTTATGTATCTCTTACAAAAAGGCACCTTGCCTGTAGCAGTTGCTCAATAAGTCATTGCTAAATTGATGAACTACCTAATGTAAACCTACTTCATGGAACACTTATTTGATGGTTTAAATAAATAGCACAAAGTGTACCAAGAAACTGTATACTTCTATTGTAGATATTCACTTATTTATGCTATTAACTTGTATGGCAATAAATCAGTTGTCAAATGCTTTATGATACATATTCCTAGTTCCTCTTTAACTTATAAGAACTCCATGTGTTTACTAAGAAAACTAGTTGTTCAATAACTCAGGCATTGTACATTTTTGTTTCACCATGCTTTAAAATAAAACTCTCAACTTTTGTTTCATTCAGATGAAAAGACAACTAACCTCATTTTAAAACACAGACTTCTATGTCTCTTTGTGCACTATGTGTTGCAAATAAAGAAGAGTTGTGAGTATGAGAAGCAAAATAATGTTAGTATTAAAACATAAAGAAAAATAGCAATCAGTTTGAGAACTATGAGAGAGATTATAAGAAATTTGCCCTTAAGACTGTTTCTGTACTGTTTCTCAAAGAGAGTAAATAAACCCTTCACGGTAGATGCTATTTTTATTTTGAAACATTTGCAATTTTCTACTTCTTATATTTCAAGAGCAAGAAATAGGATACCCATTATTAATCTTAATAATATCAGGAGAACTATACTGTTTTACAAACAATAAACTTTGGTATGAACTAGCCCATTTAAATTGTAAGCCCTTTTTTACATTTATTACTTAAATCACTGCTTTGTTTTTTCCCTGAAGCTGTAGAGGAATTTGAGGGGGTTAAGTATTTTGGAAGAATAATCTTTTCTGTATTTTCTCCCCAGGATCAAATGATTCAAATGGACTTCCTTTTCAGGGAGAAACAAAGACTGGGTAACATAGCTGACTGTCCCATTGACTAAATTTTTTAAATGTAGGATAAAGTATTGAAAACATTACATAAAATATATATTAAAAGGATGGCAAACATAGAAGTTTGAAGACAAAAAAGAAGAGAAAGACTAAATATGAGTGGAAAGAAGAACACTGAATACAAATACTCGATAAAAACATTTGCCATTCATGGTTGGCTGTGGAATGTGGTTATCAACGGTCTCTTAGTGTTCAGAAAACACATGAAAAAGCAGCAGGGCCTGCCCAAGGTGTGAGTATCTAATATAAGATGCCCCCATTTATTTGGACCCAAGATCTGTACTGTCCAATACTGTAGCCACCAGCCACATAGGGATATTGAGTACTTGGCACCTGTCTGATGATATTGAAAAACTAAATTTTAATTTTATTTTAATTAATTTTAATTTAAAAACTGATACTCAATTCAGTTATTTGAAAATTTTAGCTATGTTTGGGACAACCTAGGCATTCAAAACTACTTTTTCAACTGTAACATTTTTAAAACATAAACACCGATACTTTTTCAATAAAACTGTAATGTTGGAACTGATCTGTGCTCTGTATGAAGAACCACATTTCAAAGACTTAGTGTGAAAAAAATGTAAAAATCTCATTAATAATTTCTATATGATTATATACATATTAAAATAATATTAAAGAAAATATATGACTAATTATTTTACCTGTATCTTTTTATTTTTTAATATTGCTACTAGAAAATTTTACATTATGTATATATGGCACATGTTACATATCTGTTGAGCAGTGCTGGCCTAGCAAATTAATGCCCAATGTACATGTAGACTAAAAATGTGTTTACCAAACACCACTAGCAAGGAAAATTGTCTGCCTTGAACTTTAATGATGGGAAGAGGAGGAAAAAAACAAACAAAAACCTCCCAAATCCAGATTTTTATTTGCTGCAGCCTGAATTAATACTACCTAGGTAGTCTAAAAACCATAAAGCCAGTAATTAAGTTTCAGGTAGCTCCAACTTTGCAGTGCATCCAAGAAACTGGCAGAAATAAACATAAGTCTTCTCTAGATGAACACAATTTTCATAAATAAAGTTAAAAGAAGATGAGCTTAAATCAAAAATAACAAAACATACCTGGAAACAAAGCACCACGATCAAGAAACAAGACCAAAAAGCAGGCAAGAAATGAGACACACAAATACTTTAAAATCAGACAGATAATAGTGTATCATTTATTTATACAACAGAGTATCACAGAGTGTTTTCTATTTGGCAAATATTGTCCTATATTCTTAAAATACATTAGTGAATAAAACAAAGAAAACTCTCTGTCATCAAGAAGTTTGTATAAACAGACATCTGAGGAAAATGATAGATAGGAGACAGAACTAATGTGCAGCTCCCACTCAGACGGACAGAACAGCATGTGGAGACTCACGCAGTGAACTTTTGCTCCAAGAACTACCACAGGAACATGCCAGGAAAACCTAAAGAATTCACAGACCCTTTAAAAGGAGCAGATTGCTGCTATAAACTCTGTGAGAGAGCCATAAAACTGTGAGTTCCCAAAGTGTGAGAGAGGCAAAAGTCTACCTCCAAACAAACATCCCCACTGGGGAACCTGAAAATCCCAGTCATGGGAGAAAGATTTAACCTTACCTAGAGCTGAAATGGATTTTGGGAGCTGAGCGAAAAAGTAGAAAAAGCAGTGGGAACCTGTAGGAACTCCTGATCCAAGCTCAAACTCAAGGAAGCCATTCCTGGCCTTTTCTCACAGGGGTCCTTGGGAGTGGAAGGCAGGAGGGGCCACAGGGTGACGGAAACTCCTAGTTGAAATTGTAGTAAGTTTGACTAAGCACAAATTTTCCTGAGCAGATTCCGGGGGATAGGGGGTGAATAGGAAGTACAGATATAAATACAGAAGCCAAAGCTAAAGGTTCAGGCAGGTGGGGAGGGGTGAGGCCTGAGAGCTTTGTTTGCTCTCTCAGTGGGGAGGATTGTAGCCTGGGAAAGATCTCATCCCTGCTCGATGGCTGCCTGGATATAAACTCAGTGCAGTTGGGGGTTCTCAGTGGGAGTGAGACTGGCCTTGCTGGCTGCATGGGGGCTGTGTCAGGTCTGTCACTGCTGGCTTTACCCCACTTCCCTGGCAACCTGTAGGACATAACAGAGGCAGCCATCACTCCCCTGGGACCATAATTCTGTTGCCCTGAGAACCACCCTCCCATCCCCCACAGTGGCCACAGCAAGCCCTACCCAAGGAGAGTCTGAGCTCAGACCCACCTAAACCTGCCCCCACTTGGTTTTTCACTACCTGCCCTGGTAGCCAAAGACAAAAGACATAAACTCTTGGGAGCTCTATGCCCCTGCCCATCACCTGAGAAACTCAAGTACTTATTCTGACCAACACAGGGCAAGATTATATCCCGTTTCTACTACTGCCGCTGGTGCTTTCTTGAAAGTGCCACCTCCTGGCTGGAGGCCAACCAACTCAAGCCATTACAGCAACTTATAACCAAACAAACCTACTCCAAAGAAGGATAAAACAAAAGCTAACTCCACTGCCTGCAACACCTTGACTAACCAGAGGACCTGAGTTTGTTCATGTGACAATTCTACTGCTAGCATAACCAGCATTTGAGAAAACCAGTGCACTAAACAAAACTACAACTAAGGACTCACACAGAGCCCACTTTACTCCCCTGCCACCTCCACCAAAGCAGGTGCTGGTATCCATGGCTTGGAGACCTAAAGATGGATCACATCACAGGACTCTTTGCAGACATTCCCCAGCTGGGTGGCTAGACCCAGTAAGCCCAGAGCCCAGTAACCCTGCTGGGTGGCTAGACCCAGAACGGCAATAACAATCACTGCAGTCTAGCTCTCAGGAAGCCCCATCCATAGGAGAAAGGGGAAAGCACCACATCAAAGGATTACCCCCAGGACAAAAGAACCTGAACAGCAGTCCTTGAGTTCCAGATATTTCCACTGAAACAGTCTATCCAAATGAGAAGGAACTAGAAAAGTAATTCTGGTAATATGACAAAATGAGGTTCTATAACACCTTCAAAAGATCACTAGCTCTCCAGCAATGGATCCATACCAAGAAGAAATCTCTGAATTCAGAAGGTTGATTAGTAAGCTACTCAAGGAAGTGCCAGAGAAAACTAAAAACTGAATTAAATAATTTTTTTAAAAAATACAGGATACAGGCGAAAAAGTCTTCAGAGAAATAGGTATCATAAAGAAAAGACAATCACAACTTCTGGAAATGAAAGACACACTTAAATGTAAAATACGCTAGAAGGTCCCAGCAACAGAATCAAAAAAGTAGAAGACAGAACTTCAGAGCTTGAAGACAAGGCTTTCAAATTAAACCAATTCAACAAAGACAAAGAAAAAAGAACTTTTTAAAAATGAACAAAGTCTCCAAGAAATTTGAGATTATGTTAAATAACCAAATACAAGAATAATTGGTATTTCTGAAGAAGAAGAAAAATGTAAAAGTTTGGAAAACTTATTTGAGGGAATAATTGGGGAAAACTTCCTTGGTCTTGCTAGAGATGTAGACATCCAAATACAAGAAGCTCATAGACTGCACTCCAGTGTTTATTACAACACTATTCACAATAGCCAAAATTTAAAAGCAACTCAAGTGTCTGTCAACAGATGAATGAATAAAGAAAATGTAGTGCTTATACAAAATGGAATACTATTCAGCCTTTTAAAAAATGAGATCCTGTCATTTGCAACAATCTGGATGGAACTGGAGGTCATTATGTTAGGTAAACTAAGCCAGGCACCCAGGAAATTCATCCCCAAAAGATCATCACTTAGGCACATAGCCATAGTTAGGTTATCTAAAGTCAAGACAAAGGAAAGAATCTTAAGAGCTATGAGGCAAAAGTATCAAGTAACTTATAAGAAAAACCTATCAGATTGACAGTCGATTTCTCCACAAAAATGGTGCAAACCAGAAGGGAATGGGGTCCTATCTTTAGCCTCATTAAGCAAAATAATTATCAGCCAAGAATTTTGTATCCAGCCAAACTAAGCTTTATAAATGAAGGAAAGATGAAGTCTTTGTCAGAAAAACAAATGCTGAAAAATTTCAGAAAAACAAATCCTGGAAAAATGTGCAACTACCAAGCCAGCACTTTAAGAAATGCTAAAAGAAGTTATAAATCTTAAATCAAAACCTTGAAATACCCCAAAATAGAACCTCCTTAAAATTTAAATTTCACAGGATCTGTAAAACAATAACAAAATGGAAAAAAAAAGTATTCAGGCAATAACTAGCATGAAGAATGGAACAGTACCTCACATCTCAAAACCAATATTGAATATAAATGGCCTAAATACTCCACTTATTAAAAGACACAGAATGGAAGAATAGATAAAACTCCACCAACCAAGTATCTGCTGTCTTCAAGAGACTCACCTAACACATAAGGACTCACATAAACTTAAGGTAAAGGGGTAGAAGAAAGATATTCCATGCAAATAGAAACCAAAAGGAAGCAGGAGTAGCTATTCTCATATCAGACAAAACAGACTTTAAGGCAACAACAGTTAAAAAAGACAAAGACAGACATTATATAATGATAAAATGATTAGTACAACAGGAAAATATTATAATCCTAAATATATATGCACCTAACACTGGAGTTCCCAGATTTGTAAAATAATTACTACTAGAACTAAGAAATGAGATAGATGGCAACACAATAATAGTGGGAGACTTCGGTACTCCACTGACAGCACTGGACAGGTCATCAAGAGAGAAAGTCAACAAAGAGAAAATGGACTTAAACTATACCCTAGGAAAAATGGACTTAACAGATATTTACAAGAAAATTCTACCCAATAACTGCAGAATATACATTATTTTCATCAACACAGGAAACATTCTCCAAGATAGACCATATAACAGGCTACAAAACAAGTCTCTATAAATTTAAGAAAATTAAATTATATCAAATACTCTCACAAACCACAGTGAAATAAAATTGGAAATTAACTCCAAAAGGAACCCTCAAAATTACACAAATACATGAAAATTAAATAACCTTCTCCTGAATGATCTCTGGGTCAACAATGAAATCAAGATGGAAATTAAAAATTCTTGGAGCTGAATAATAGTGACAACACCTATCAAAATTTCTGAGATACTGCAAAAGCAGTACTAAGAGGAAAGTTCACAGCATTAAATGCCTTCATCAAAAAGTCTGAAGGAGCACAAATAGACAATCTAAGCTCACACCTCCAGGAACTATAGAAACAAGAACAAACCAAATCCAGCAGAAGAAAAGAAATAACAAAGATCAGAAAAGAAATAATAAAATTCAAACAAAAAAAATACAAAAGACAAATGAAACAAAAAGCTGGTTCTTTGAAAAGATAAACAAAATCAATAAACCTTTATAGAGGTTAACCAAGAAAAGAAGAGAGAAGATTGAAATAGGCTCAGTCAGAAACTAAATAGGAGATATTACAACTGATACCACAGAAATACAAAAGATCATTCAAGGTTACTATGGATATCTTTATGTGCAGAAACTAGAAAATCTAGAGGAGATGGATAAATTTCTAGAAATATACAACCCTCTTCAACTAAACCAGGAAGAAATAGAAACTCTAAACAGACCAATAACAAGTAGTGAGATTGAAACAGTAATTTAAAAATTGCCAAAAAAAAATCCAGGACCAGATGGATTCACAGCTGAATTCTATCAGACATTCAAAGAAGAATTAGTACCAATCTCACTTAAACTATTCCAAAAAAATAGAGAAAGAAGAAACCCTCCCCAAATCATTCTATTAAGCCAGCATTACCCTAATACTAAAACCAGGAAAGAATGTAGCAAAAGAAAGAAAACTACAGACCAAGATCCCTGATGATCATAGATGCAAAAATCCTCAACGAAATACCAGCTAACTGAATCCAACAGCATATCAAAAAGACAATACTCCATGATCAAGTCAGTTTTATACAAGAGATGCAGGGTTGGTTTAACATATGCAAGTCAATAAATGTGATACACCACATAAACAGAAGTAAAAACAAAAATCACACGATCATCTCAATAGATGCAGAAAAAACATTTGACATAATCCAGCATTGCTTTAAGAATAAAACCCTTAGCAAAATTGGCATAGAAGGGACATACCTTAAGGTAATAAAAGCCATCGATGACAAACCCACAGCCAACAGTAAGTATATTGAAAAGGGAAAAGTTGAAAGCATTCTCCCTGAGAACCAAAACAAGACAAGGATGCCCACTTTTACCGCTTCTATTCAACATAGTACTGGAAGTCCTAGCCAGAGCAATCAGACAAGAGAAAGAAATGAAGGACATCCAGATTGGTAAAGAGAAAGTCAAACTGTCACTGTTTGCTGATGATACGATTGTATACCTAGAAAACCCTAAAGACTCATTTTAAAAGCTCCTAGATCTGGTAAATGAATTCAGTAGACTTTCAGGATACAAAATTAATATACACAAATCAGTTGCATTGCTATACACCAACAGCAAGCAAGCTGAGAATCAAATCAAGAACTGAACCCCTTTTACAATAGCTGAAAATTAAAATAAAATACTTAGGAATATACCTAACCAAGGAGGAGTAAGACCTCTACAGTGAATACAACAAAACATTGCTGAAAGAAATCACAAATGACATAAACAAATGAGAAACACATCCCATGCTAATGGATGGGTAGAATCAACATTGTAAAAATGACCATACTGCCAAAAGCCATTTATAAATTCACTGAATTTCTTATCAAAATATCATCATCATTCTTCACAGAACTAGAAAAAACAATCCTAAAATTCACACAGGACCAAAAAAGAGCCTACACAGCCAAAGAAAGACTAAGCTAAAAGAACAAACCTGGAGGCATCACATTACCTGACTTCAAACTATACTACAGGGCTATAGTCACCAAAACAGTATAGTATGGGTATAAAAATAGGCACATAGACCAATGGAACATAATAGAGAACCCAGAAATAAAGATAAAAACTTACAGCCAACTGATCTTTGACAAAGCAAACAAAAACATAAAGTGGGGAAAGAACACCCTATTGAACAAATGATGATGAGATAACTGGCAAGCCTCATGTAGAAGAATGAAACTGGATCCTCATCTCTCATCTTCTACAAAACTCAACTCAGGATGGATCAAAGACTTAAATCTGAGACCTGAAACCATAAAAATTGTACAAGATAACATGGGAAACTCTCTTCTAGATATTACCTTAGGCAAAAAGTTCATGACCAAGAACCCAGAAGCAAATGCAACAAAAAAAAAGATAAATAGATGAGACTTAATTAAATTAAAAAGCTTCTGCACAGCAAAAGAGATAATCAGCAGAGTTAGCAGACAACCCAGAGAGTGGAAGAAAATTTTCGCAAACTATGCATCCGACAAAGGACGAATATCCAAAATCTACAAGGAACTGAAACAAATTAGTAAGAGAAAAACAATCCCATCAAAAAATGTGTGCAGGACATAGACAATTCTCAAAAGAAGATATACAAATGGCCAACAAATACATGAGAAAATGCTCAACATCACTAATTACCAGGGAAAAGCAAGTCAAAAACTACAATGCAATACTACCTTTCTCCTGCAAGAATGGCATAATTAAAAAATAAAAAAAAATAGATGTTGGCATGGATGTGGTGAAAAAGGAACACTTTCACACTGTTGGTGAGAACATAAACTAGTACAACCACTATGGAAAACAGTATGGAGATTCCTTAAAGAACTAAAAGTAGAACTACAATTTGACCCAGCAATCCCACTACTGGATATCTACCCAGAGGAAAAGAGGTCATTATATGAAAAAGACACTTCCAAACACATGTTTATAGCAACACAGTTTGCAACTGCAAAAATATGGAGGCAGCCAAAAGGCTCATTAACCAATGAGTGGATAAAGAAAATGTGGTGAGTATATATACTATGGAATACTACTCAGCCATAAAAAGAAATGAAATAATAGCATTCACAGCAACATGGATGGAGTTTGAGACCATTATTCTAAGTTAAGTAACTCAGGAATGGAAAGCCAAACATCATATGTTCTCACTTACTAAGAGAGAGCTAAGCTATGAGAATGCAAAGGCATGAGAATGATATGATAGACTCTGGGGACTTGAGCGGGAGGTGGGGAGGCCATGAGGGATAAAAAACTACACATTGGGTACAGTACACATTGCTTGGTTGATGGGTGCACCAAAATCTCAGAAATCTCCACTAAATAATTTATCCATTTAACCAAACACCACTCGTTCCTCAAAAACTATTAGATAGTAATAATAATAATAAAGTTTGTAGAAATACAGTGTTTAAAAATTTTCAACAAATTTAATTATAAAATCTAATTGCTTTTACTAGAAGTTCATGAGTCAGGCAGCATCCATTTTAAGGATTTAGAAAAGGTGCTCTGATGAGCAGAGCAGAGGAGGTGGGCTTCACAGGCAGAAAAGAGCTGAAAAAGCAGAAACAAGGAATAAAAAGGTTGGTCACTTTAAAGACACTTTCCTGATAGATTTCAAACGGAGAGGACTTCCATATTATGCTGGCTCAGGTTAACTGGGCCCTTTTTTATTAGTTGCTGTAATATCCTGTTTTAAGGAAAAGCTGGTATGTTGAGGATTCTTCTTTTTATCTTTTTTAAGGCTTCAGTTTGATTATATGACACTAGTGATTGTATTTTGCTCTGCTCTGTTGGAGCCTACTGCACAAGCTCAGCCCAAAACAATGGCATGTCATAAATTTTACTTTAAAATATATGTGTGAAATAGTGTAAAACATATTTTAAAATTTGAAGTATAAAATATTCAAACATGAAAAATAACAAAATTAATATTAAATAATAAAAGTCCAAACTGACAGAATGAGAAATAAGAAATCATAAAAATGAGTAAATGAAACTTATAAAAACATTTTAAGATCAAAATTTTGAAAATTAGATTCTGGGGATGGAGCCAAGATGGCCAAACAGGAACAGCTCCAGTCTACAGCTCCTAGCGTGAGTGACACAGAAGATGGGTGATTTCTTCATTTCCAACTGAGGTACTGGGTTCATGTCACTGGGGAGTGCTGGACAGTGGGTGCAGAACAGTGGGTGCAGTGCACCGTGCATGAGCCAAAGCAGGGCAAGGCATCGCCTCACCCTGGAAGCACAAGGGGTTAGGGAGTTCCCTTTCCTAGTCAAAGAAAGGGGTGACAGATGGCACCTGGAAAATCGGGTCACTCCCACCCTAATACTGCGCTTTTCCAATGGGCTTAACAAACGGCACACCAGGAGATTATATCCCGCACAAGGCTTGGAGGGTCCTACGCCCACAGAACCTCACTTATTGCTAGCACAGCAGTCTGAGATCAAACTGCAAGGCAGCAGCAAGGCTGGGGGAGGGGGGCCGCCATTGCTCAGGCTTGAGCAGGTAAACAAAGCCGCAGGGAAGCTCGAACTGGGTGGAGCCCACCACAGCTCAAGGAGGCCTGCCTGCCTCTGTAGGCTCCACCTCTGGGGGCAGGGCACAGACAAAAAAAAAGACAGCAATAACCATAGTGTTGGAAGTTCTAGCCAGGGCAATCAGGCAGGAGAAGGAAATAAAGGGCATTTAATTAGGAAAAGAGGAAGTCAAAGTGTCCCTGTTTGCAGATGACATGATTGTATATCTAGAAAACCCCACCGTCTCAGCCCAAAATCTCCTTAAGCTGATAAGCAACTTCAGCAAAGTCTAAGGATACAAAATCAATGCACAAAAATCACAAGCATTCTTATACAGCAATAAGAGACAGAGAGCCAAATCATGAGTGAACTCCCATTCACAATTGCTTCAAAGAGAATAAATAACTAGGAATCCAACTTACAAGGGACATGAAGGACCTCTTCAAGGAGAACTACAAACCACTGCTCAAAGAAATAAAAGAGGATACAAACAAGTGGAAGAACATTCCATGCTCATGGGTAGGAAGAATCAATATCATGAAAATGGCCATACTGCCCAAGGTAATTTATAGATTCAATGCCATCCCCATCAAGCTACCAATGACTTTCTTCACAGAATTGGAAAAAACTACTTTAAAGTTCATATGGAACCAAAAAAAAGCCCGCATCGCCAAGTCAATCCTAAGCCAAAAGAACAAAGCTGGAGGAATCACGCTACCTGACTTCAAACTATACTACAAGGCTACAGTAACCAAAACAGCATAGTACTGGTACCAAAACAGAGATATAGATCAATGGAACAGAACAGAGCCCTCAGAAATAATTCCGCATATCTACAACTATCTGATCTTTGACAAACCTGACAAAAACAAGCAATGGGGAAAGGATTGCCTATTTAATAAATGGTGCTGGGAAAACTGGCTAGCCATATGTAGAAAGCTGAAACTGGATCCCTTCCTTACACCTTATACAAAAATCAATTCAAGATGGATTAAAGACTTACATGTTAGACCTAAAACCATAAAAACCCTAGAAGAAAACCTAGGCATTACCATTCAGGACATAGGCGTGGGCAAGGGCTTCATGTCTAAAACACCAAAAGCAATGGCAACAAAAGACAAAATTGACAAATGGGATCTAATTAAACTAAAGAGCTTCTGCACAGCAAAAGAAACCACCATCAGAGTGAACAGGCAACCTACAGAATGGGAGAAAATTTTTGCAACATACTCATCTGACAAAGGGCTAATATCCAGAATCTACAATGAACTCAAACAAATTTACAAGAAAAAAACAAACAATCCCATCAAAAAGTGGACAAAGGATATGAACAGACACTTCTCAAAAGAAGACATTTATGCAGCCAAAAAACACATGAAAAAATGCTCATCATCACTGGCCATCAGAGAAATGCAAATCAAAACCACAGTGAGATACCATCTCACACCAATTAGAATGGCAATCATTAAAAAGTCAGGAAACAACAGGTGCTGGAGAGGATGTGGAAAAATAGGAACACATTTACACTGTTGGTGGGACTGTAAGCTAGTTCAACCATTGTGGAAGTTGGTGTGGCAATTCCTCAGGGATCTAGAACTAGAAATACCATTTGACCCAGCCATCCCATTACTGGGTATATACCCAAAGGATTATAAATCATGCTGCTATAAAGACACATGCACACGTATGTTTCTTGTGGCACTATTCACAATAGCATGGACTTGGAACCAACCCAAATGTCCAACAATGATAGACTGGATTAAGACAATGTGGCACATATACACCATGGAATACTATGCAGCCATAAAAAGTGATGAGTTCATGTCCTTCGTAAGGACATAGATGAAGCTGGAAACCATCATTCTCAACAAACTATCACAAGGACAAAAAGCCAAACACCACATGTTCTTACTCATAGGTGGGAATTGAACAATGAGAACACATGGACACAGGAAGGGGAACATCACACACCAGGGACTGCTGTGGGGTTGGGGGAGAGGGCAGGGATAGCATTAGGAGATATACCTAATGCTAAATGAAGAGTTAATGGGTGCAGCACACCAACGTGGCACATGTATACATATGTAACAAACCTGCACGTTGTGCACATGTATCCTAAAACTTAAAGTATAATAATAATAAAAAAGATCAAAATTTTACAAATTCATCACTTGATTAAACAATTGATTATATATTAGAGGTATATATAATACTAGATGTATATCACTATTGCATGTCTACATGTGTGCATGTAATGCACAGAGAGATAAGGAAATCAAAATATAAAAAAGAATTTAAGAGACATGAGAAAGGAACTCTCACATGAGAGTTCCAAAAAGGGTGAAAAGACAAAGTAAAAAAAGGGCAATTTTCAAGACAATATTACTGAAGATTTTCCAATATGTTGATAGATATCATCCTGCTGATATAATAAATCTAGTTAATCCAGAGCACAATAAATAAAAAGAAATCCATGCTCTGGATAATATATTAGAAAAAAAAAAAAACCCACACAGCACCAAAGACAAAGAAGAATTTAAGAACACTAAAGAAAAATTTAAAAGACAAATTTCCTACATAGGAATAAAAATAAGACTGAAAGCTGGTTTCTCAATAACAGGAATAAAAACCAGACAACAAATAAATGGTCTCTCCAATGTCCTTAAAGAAAATAACTGTCATTCTAGAATTGTATTCACAGAGAAAATAACTTCCAAGAATTAGGGTAAAATATATGAATTTTTTAAACACACACAAACTTAAGTTTGGCATGAATAGAACCAAGAAATTCAAAAATTTTCAAGCCGAAGGAAAATAATCCAAAATGGTCATCTGAAATGCATGAAGGAATACTGAAATGGAAATAAGAGAAATATGAAGATTAATTTAAACAAACATTGAATGTAAATACTGTTATGTGGGGTTAAAAACAAATGGGATAGAAATAAATGTCACGTAAGAGTGGAGAAGTGTTATGACTGTTAACAGATTCTAAGACCTTCAAATTATTCAAGAAGAATGTAAAATTGTTAACTGACTTTTGATTTTCAAATAAAATGTCAGCCTTAAATAATGAAAATTAGAAAATATGATTAATTATAGAGTTTATTAGATTACAAAATGTGATCATGGCTACCTGGATAACATAGACTCCAAACGAATGTAGTCAGTGCTCCTAAGGAGGGAAGTTAAGGCTTCGCTTATATAAGCAAAGAGAGAGAAACTTAACAGGGTTGCAGCATTTTCCACACAAGGCCAATACATACATTACAGCAATTTGATCAGTTACAGTTTGTTACATTCCAAGGAAGATTGCTTTAACATTCCATAAGGAGGGGTAGTGGACTCAAGGGGGCTCTTACCCCTGGCACAGTTCAGTCTTTCCTAATCATCCACAGTACAAGAATAAGAAAGGGAATTAATCTATAATTGTAGAAGCAGAAGCTGGAGCTTATGCTATGTGACTCAGGCCACATAGTCACATTTTTCTCAAGGCTCAATAGTTTAAAGTTCCAACAGCTTTAGGCTTAAAGTATTTAATTTCACAAAGAATGGATATTAAAATGTCTAGGTTAACTATAAATAAAAAGCCCATTGAGAATATAGCTTCTATAAGAACAGAGGTTTGAAAGTTTAAAACAAACACACACATACAAACAAAAGACAAAAAGAAAAATAGAAAAGCAAATTTAGTAAAGGTAGAATGAATAGAAAGTATGAAATAAGATGATAGAAACAAATAAAAAATAAGAGTGATAATAATAAATGTAAGTAAAGACAAGTTTACCTGACTGAAGTAAATATATACCTATGCAAAAATAGCAACCAAAAAAAATTCTGATGATTGCCTTCTATTTAAATATAAAAATAAAGAAAAATACAGGATATATATTGGGAAATTGCTACTCAAAATCAACCATGTATGCCATTATTAATATAAGAATATATAGACTTTAAGTCAAAAAGCATCTGTAAAGAAAATATAGGTCAGGAAGATTTACCATTTCTAAACTTGGATACATCCAAATTAGCTCCAAAATATATGAATCAAACTGAGAAATACTTTTTAAAAAGGAATTGAAAAATCACCCAATGTGCTTAGATTTTCATATACATTTTTCTTTAACTTTTATAGATCTAGAACAATACAAAATCAGTAATTAGAGGACAAACAACTTGATGTAAATGTGAAGTAATGGCATATAACAAATGGAAAATACCCATTATTTTCAAGGATGCATAGAGTATTATGAAAACTGACCACTGAGTCATGAAGCAAGTCTCAAGAAATTGGAAAGATTTGTATCATAAAGACAATTTGTTGTTGTTGTTTTCTGTTCATAAGAAAATCAATTTAAAAATCAAAATTTCAAAGATAACACTCTTTTTAAAATTTACGAATCACAGAAAAATGATAATTAAAAATTCTAAATATTTTAGAAGTGAGTTATAATAAAAATAGTACGTAAAAAATTCATGGAATACAGCTATCACAGATATTTGTAAAAAATGTATATTTCAAATGCTTGTAATAGGAAATAAGAGACATTCAAAATTACACATTAGGCATTTAAGTTAAGAGATTAACACACAACAAAGAATAGACCTCCCCCCAAAAAGAAATGAAATGATAAACATAAGAAATGTATAACTAGTCTTTTGAGCTGTATAATAAATTTAATTAACTGATGCCTAAACTTACCATAGTAAAAAAAGACAAGGCACAAACGAACAGTATTAGAAATAAAAAAGAAAACTATACATAAAAATCAGTGCAGCAGATATTAAGCAGATAAGAGGATATGATTACTTTATGTCCATAAACACAAAAATTTAGATGAAATAACAAGTTTGTCAAAGATAAAGAGAAGCCACAAAAATCCTATAAACATTAAGAAATAATGAACTAGTGGTTTAATTTTTTCCCAGACAATTTTACTGGTGAATGCAAGCCAAAACCAAATAATGGCAGTTTTATACACACTATGACAATGTATAGAAATAAAGCAAGCAGTCTCCAGCTCATTGTAAGGAGCAAGTATAACCTTGAGAACAAAGCTTAATAAAGAGAACATAAAAAGAAAATTACAAAGAACAATCACTCAGGAACACTGATGCAAAAATTCTAAAAATATAATAACAAACCTAATTTAGCAATGAATGAAAAAGATACTATATTGTGAACTAATTGGGATTTTCCCAAGAATGCAAAATTGGTTTAACATTAAGCAAGCAATTAATGTAATTTGCCAGTTTACAAGATTAAAAGTAGAAAAATAGTAATTAATTCTATAGATAACAAAATATAATTAACATTATGATAAAAAAGAAAGCTTGCTTAAAGAATATCTATAAAAACCTACAGCAACACAATGTTGAACTATTTAAATTGTTTCTTTTAACATCAAAAACAATATTTATGCACTATCACTACTTTTATGTGACTGTTCTTAGCAATGCATTAAGATCAAACATTTAAAATCATTAAGATTGTTAAAAGACATTTAAAAAACAAAAAAGGATGAAATAAATGATAGTTATTCACATATAATATTTTTCTATGGAGAAACCCAAAGAATGTATGAATAAACTTTTAGAATAAGCAACTACAATGTTGTAGGAATTAAAATACAAAAGACTTTTAACACATTAGTGACACTCATTTAGATCATAATTAAAAATGTTATTGTGAAAGTCAGCATTTAGTACTCTACTATCCCTTTCCCAAATTTGTTTTAAAAATAAATAAAAATAAAAAAGAGAGTAGCCAAAAGCTGAGAGATCCTAGAGGGATTTGACCTTTGAAGAAAGTGAAGCATCCTGAGTGAAATGAATGATTACATGGCTTTAATTTGAAATACATTCAGCAGTGCTCATGATGCAGAAGTTAGAATTGAGCTTGAGGTGCTAGAAGATGAATCCCAGACTGAAAATTGATGAGAAGAACATTCAAAAGGAGGTAAGCACAGCAGAGAACTAAGTCTACATATAACTCAATTCAAATCTTGACTAATTCCCAGGATTACATCTCCACATGGAAGATTGAAAGAAGATTGCGTGGGTAACATCAACTAAACATCAGCTAAAAGAATTCAGTGTCGGTTCCAGATGTTACTCACCACAAGGGAGACAGGGTTTGGAGTTACCCAACTTAGAGGGGCTTGGTAAACACTTCCACTTTCCTGGAGACTTTCCCTAGAAAATCAATGTGTGATCTATCGTTAAGAAAAAAATCAATAAGAAGGGAATATGAGATGACACAGATAATGAAATTATCAGGGAAAAATTTCAAAACATCAAAAATTCTATATGTTCAAAGGCTTACAGGAAAAGTATAGTAATAAAGATTAACATATCAGAAATCTCAGCAGAGAAATGGAAATTATGAAAATAAGCAAAATAAAAATTCTAGAAATCACAAGTACTGTATTGAGGATGTAAATTTTGCTAAAGAAGTTTAACACAAGATTATGTAGGGCAATAGAAAACATCAATAAATTTGAAGTTCAAGCAACTGAAGTTATCCAATTTGAAGGAAAGAGACAAAAAGTATTGAAATAAACAGAATTTCAGTGAACTCTGGAACAATATTAAAGTCTAGTATGTGCATGACGGAAATGCCGAAAGGAGGTGAGAGAGAGAATGAGGCAGAAAAGGTATTTGAAGAAAATATAAACACATGAATGGAAGAAGCTTAGCAATAAGACAAGTACAGAGAAACACATACCTAGGGATATCATAGTCAAATGCTGAAAACCAAAGAAGAGAAATCTTAAAAACAAACAGCAAGAAAAAAAAACCCACACACCCACTACTAGGGACTCAATGATATAAATGATGACTGGCATCTCATCAAAAAATAATGAAGGACCAAATACAATGGAATAATACCTTTAATATGCTAAAAGAAAAAAAACTGTCAGCCCATAACACTATCTTTCAAGAAGTACAAAACAAAGACATTTTTAAATAAACTAAGGCTAAGATAATTCATCATCAGCCAGCCTGCACTACAAAAAATAGTAAATAAACTCATCTAAAGCACATGAGTCTAGATAAAGTAGGCTTCAAGACGAGGAGTATTACTAGAGATAAAGAGGGAAATTTCTTAATAGGCAATATTAATTCTTAATAGTAACATTTCTATATGTATATGAACTTAATGAGTGAGCTTCAAAATACTCAAAGAAACATCTTCCAGAACTAAAGGAAGAAATAGGGAAATCCATAAAGTTGAATATTTTAACACCTATCTCTTTTTAATTGATAGAAGAACAAAAACTCAATAAGGATTTATATGATTTGAACAATAGTGACCAACTGCAACATATATTCAAGAAAAATAGAAGAGTGTACAGAGAGAAGGAAACTGTCAAAGAAATAGTTTAAATAAATTGCCCAGAATTTAAAAACTTGTTTCTAAGTTGATGGGCATTTGTACAGCACAACAAATGGGAAAAGACCCACACTAACTCATGTTATCATGAAATTTCAAACCTCTGGTAAAACAAAACAAAACAAAAAAAAACAAAATGACATGTTTCTAAAAGCTCTCAAGCTCTCAGAAACAAAACAAAGAACAAACAAAAATAAATACCATACCATGAATCAGAAATCTATTTGAATTCATAGTTTCAGACATGATGGAGTAAGTGAAATTAGACTTACCATCCTGCTATAAACAACTACAAAACTGAACAAAGTATATGAAGTATCTATATTCAGACATTAGGCAATGGTAATATGAAGCTATAATCCTTGAGAGAAAAGAAAAACATGAGGCAAAAGCCGCATTCTTCCTGGGGGCACTTTTCAAACCATGGCACAGAGAAGTGGAGCCTAAACAAAGCAGTAATCTTTCTGGGAAAAGATATTGGAATTTATGAGTGTTGTATTAATTTTCTATTGCTGCTGTAACAAATTCACACAAGTTTAGTGGCTTAAAACAATACACATTTATTGTATCACAGTTTCCATGAATCAGAAATCTGGGTACTGCATGAATCAGCCAATTCTCCACTTACGGTCTCATAAGACCAAAACCAAAGTGTTGGCAGGGCAACGTTACTTTCTGTAGGCTCTAGGAAGAATCCACTTCCAAACCCATTCAGGTTTTTGGTAAAATTTAGTTCCTTGAGATTAAAGAGCTAAGGTCTCTGTTTCCTTGCTGGCTGTCAGCTAGGAGCTTCTTTCATCTCAAGGCCACAAGCATTCCTTATCATATTGCCTTTCCATCTTCAAAGCTTGCAAGGGCATGTCAAGTACTTCTCACATTCAAATCTCTCTGATTTCCCCTTCTGTTACATCTTTCTGATTAAGTGGAGAAAGTGCTATGTTTTTAAGGGCTTGTATGATTAGATTGGATACACCTGTACAATGCAAGATCATCTCCCTATGTAAACTCTGCCACCTTAATTATATTTGCAGACTATCTTTTGCCACGTAACGTCATATATTCACAGGTTCCAAACATTAGGGCATGTACCTCTTTTGCGGAGTATCCTCATGCCTATAGCTTCTGAAGTAGCTAAAATTTGAAGAGCTGGGCACCAGAAAGGAAGGAGAAATTCAAAGAAGGAGCACCCCAGGAAACTGCTTAGGTTTCCCCTTGAATCACTGACCAAAAAAGTTAGCTTCTCATGTTTAGGAAAAGACTTTGCAAGGTATGACAGAGAGCACCTGCTAAGAAACTGTGAGCTGAATGGAGATTACTGATATTGCAAGATGTGTGTAGAACTCACTGAAAATGTACCTCCTTATTCTGTCAGGCTTTGCCACAGGGGTTCTCATTGTGTGTGGCATGGTCCCTCTCACTTCAGGACCTTCATGCATATTGTTCTCTCAAGCTAAAATCCTCTTCATGTTCTTTTGTCCAAATAATCCCTATTCATTCTTCAAGTATTTGGGAAAAAAAAAAAAAATGACAGTACCCCCACCTCAAAGATGTCCATGTCCTTCCTAATCCCTAGAAGCTGTGAATATGTTATGTTACACAGCAAAAGGAATGAAGGTTGCTAATCAGCTGACATTAAGATAAGGAGTTTATCCTGGATTATACAGGCGAGCCCAGTGTAATCACCAGGATCCTATAAATGTAAAACAGAAAGGCGGAAGAGACAGAGTCAGAGTGATGCAGTGTGAGACAGACTCAAGCAGCCACTGCTGTCTTTGAAGACAGAAGGGGAAAAGGAGCCAAGGAATCACAAGAACTCTCTAGACACTAGGAAAGGCAAGAAAATGCATTCTCTTCCCTAGAGCCTTCAGAAATGAATGCAGCTCTGCTGATACTTTGATTTTAGCCCCCTAAGCCCTATTTTGAACACTCTGACCTCCAGAACTATAAGATTAACAGATTTATTTTGTTTTAAGACACTGAGTTTGTGGGAATTTGTCACAGCAGCAATAGGAAACTAATACAAGTATCAAACTACTACTCAAACGAGCTCTCCCTGGAAATCCAGATCAGGTCATAATCCACTCCTCTATGTTTCCATGGGACGTTTATAGTACTCATTTCTCATTGCATTCATAATTTCTTGTTCAGTAGCTCTATACACCAATAAACTATATGCCTGTCGTGTTTATCACTCTATCCTTAGTACTTGTTCCTAAACCTGGATGATACATAGCGCTTAAAACATATCATTGAATGAATAAATAAATACATTTAAATTATGACAAACTTATCTTCTTCCAATCACCATATGGTAAGATACTTACAAAAGAAATGATTTTAAGTTACTGTTGAGCTTTTACAAATTGAAATAAAAAAGAACACCTAAAAAAATATACACAGCATCTGCAACCTTTGAGTAAAAATCTGTTGTGTTTTATTTCATGTACTGCTGAAAGCTTTATGTTGTTTGAAAAATAAATGGAGCTTTTTTTTTTTTTGAAAGTCTGAGTGAGTGTGATGAGAGAGTTTGGAATCACAGACTTTAGATCCCATCTTAAAAATGAATAGCTGGACATTCACTTCACACATTCTTCTGGATCTTGTTAAAAGGTGATATATGTAAGCACCATATTGGCACAAAACAATCTCCGTTATTCTTCAACCTAACCAACAGAAAGGTATCACTGTCTTAGAATATCTAAGCCAGTGGTTCTTATGCCTGATTATATACTGATTTATATTAAAAGAGGCAAAAGAAGTCTGGGGAAGGAGGCAGGAAATTCAAAAAGAAGAAATGGTAAGGCAATTTAAATTGTTCGGCTAGAGTGCAGTGGCGCGATCTGGGCTCACTGCAACCTCCGCCTCCCGGAGGCGGAGCTATTCTCCTGCCTCAGCCTCCCAAGTAGCTGGGATTACAGACACACGCCACCATGCCCTGCCAATTTTTGTATTTTTAGTAGAGATGGGGTTTCACCATGTTGGCCAGGATGGTCTTGATCTCGACTTCGTTATCTGCCTGCCTCGGCCTCCCAAAGTGCTGGGATTACAGGCTTGAGCCACCACACCCAGCCGGCTAGCACAGGTTATATATGTTCAATATTAAAATATATACACTATATATGTGCAAAATATAATGTAAATATATATTACCTACAAACATCTTCAAACAAGACCGCTGAACTATACCTCATTTTAATTGAAAGAAAGGCAAGAGTTCTGCTAAGTCTAAAAAGTTTCTACGTGGTCTTGAGCAAACTCATAAGATGTCCATTAGCTTCAGTAACTGTTCCTCAAAGCAGCCTAAATTTTGTACCTCAAAGTGGGCCTTGACAAGTGCATGTCTGTCTGCTTCTATCGCATAAGCTTATTGAGGGGCATTTGCCATTAAGGGGAACTAGGGGCCATTTTGGGCTCTTGAGCAAAAAAATTCTTGAGGGACATGCTTTCCTCAAGAAGCTCCTGTGGAAAAATTCCATGGAATTTAACATCATAGCTGTAAGCTTAAGTCACACTTTATATCAGAACCACAAAAGACACTGTTTCTCAAATAAAACATATTTCAGAAATGGGTTCACTACTTTTTTGTAAAGAGACCAGAATCTATACTCGTAATGCTGATTCCCAGACCACCTCAGCAGTGATGGACTTCTATTGTATGTTTTTTAAAGAGGTAGTCAGCAATTCCTCAACTCTTGCCTCCCCAGTTGCCTCCTCCCTCCCTACTTCAACAACACTATACACACGTGTGTGTGCACACACACACATACACACACACCCCCTATCATACACAGAAGACAAAATTGTTTTCTGGGGTTTTGTTAAATATATTTATGCATGTGTGCACATGGTTTGTACTAAATAGTCAATAACTGTTTCAGGTGTGTACTCTTGGTTATTGCATAGGCTCTATGCACATAGACTCATATACACAGTCATATATGACTTACATGTATCTTTGCCTAATCTGTAGGTGGTCCCATAGCTCACAGGAAAGTCCTGCAGTTAGCAAGTTCAGACATACGGGATCATTTATATTTGTTCATTTGTTTTCACATATATCTTCAAAGCTGTCTAACATATTCCCAGTTTCCTTCTCCCTTCAGGACACTATCAGTTATATTCAGAGAAACATGTGTGTACTAGAAAACTGAAGCCTTATAATCAGTTTTCAGTCTCCTTTTCAATTTGAGGCATGTTTCTGTATCTGGCAAAATTTTGTCACAAACTCTAAGATTCAGTTATCTAGTTTTATTAGGATAGAAATCCCTCCCTGTTTTTCAGATTTTATATTTAAGAGCTGGGTTTCAGGGAAGGGAGGTAATTAACTCTACATGCACTCTTACCCCTAAGACGGTCAAATAAAAAGGGACATTTTAAGTATTTATGGATTCCAATGTAATATGCAATCATGATATGTCCCTGAGGGCACAGTCTTGTTAAAAAGAAAATATGATAACAAAGCCATCTTAAGGATCTAATATAAGAGATGTTTGCAGTCAGAATATCATCATTTCCCTTCTTTCTAGCACAGAATTGGAGGATTTTGGTAGCCTATTTGTGTGACTACTCAAATATGTCAAAAGCTGTGGTTTTGAGACCAATAAATAGCGACTATAGGTCTGCATGGGGACCCTTTATCAAGACTTAAAGGTGTTTCCCCCACCCCGCCAACAGTCTTATAAATGGGATTCTATTATTTTCACAACCAAATATCTGACTGTACTGTGTGAATAAACACTGAGTACTTGAGAACATTAAAGGGAGAGTGGCTTAAATATGATGTTGAGTGATCAGAAAATGCTACAGGGCGAGAAAAAGACATAAAGCTGACCCTAAAGCAGGGAATAATTTATGTATATAAAGGATAGGAGGGAAAGAGACTTCTGTGGATTAAACAACACACGAAAATACGTAGAGGCAAAATGTTAATGGCATGTGAAGGGAATAGCAAAGTGTGACACAATTTCATCAGCAGTTGTTGGGAGAACTAATGGATAAGATAAACACAAAATGACAAACCCATTATGTGACACCAAAGACTATGAGCCATTTAGAGTCTTTGGCAGGAAAAACCTTGAGGAAGTTGCTTCAGATTAGTAGAGACTGCAAAGATATATTAGTGATAAAGAGGCAGGAACCAGGAGAGATGTTAAGAGACAAACTAGATAACAGTGACAGCAAGCCACTGAGGCTTTGATTGATTCATTGTAGTCTATCAAAGAAACCCTGAATATGCTGAATGTAGTTATTTTGCAAATTTGACAGAAAACATCAGCTCTGAAATCTTTTCTCAAGTAAATCTTTTTTAAAATAAAAATTGACTTTATCTTTCAATTAAGATGGTCACTACCTCCTTGGTTGTACCACAAGCTCAAGGCCAAATAGAAGGTGATAATGATAGATTCCTACAGTGGCCATGTGGTAGTGAAGGTACAGATCTTTAATATGAAGATTTCAGAGAACTGAGAGGCCTTGGTTTGGAAACACTTTCGATGCTCTACAATCCAGGTTCTCAAGTCTACCAAACTTTTTGAGCAATGATAATCAGATTTCTCTGCCACTGAACATAGATAAGTCTTGAATATTTTTCTAAAAGACACTGGAATCCAAGGCATCGAGAGTCAACTCAAGTTATCAGAAGGATCAGAAAAGGAATGTCTTGGAAATATATGAGAAATCTTATGAAAATCTAAAAATAGCAATAAGGCATTGCCAATCCACAAGGAGTCAACAAGTTATTTTATTTCCTCCAGGGTTATTGAGTCTTCATCTCTGCTTCTCTCTGACCAGTTGTCCTGTCATCTCACTCTTGTACACCTATTTATATATTTCCTTGGGGTGTCACTGCTCCTCTCTGCTACAATAAGATACATGACTTTAGTTTTCCGTTGTGCTGAACCTGGTCCTAAACTTACATGACCTTTCATTTCCAGTGCCTATTACCTTCCATTCATTTTCTTTTTATATCACTTAAAATATTTTTAAAATGATGACTGTAAATAATTTATTCTTGTTGAAAAAGAGATCATATAGCGTGCACACATCTAAGGAAAAAAGTACCAAGTCACCTGAAATGCTGAGGTGACTCACATTATTTTGATAACAATATTAGTTTGCTAGGACTGCCATAACAAAATACTGCAAATCAGGTGGCTTAACCAACATCAACTTATTTCTCACAGTTCTGGAGGCTGGAAGTCTAAGATCAAGGGGTCCAGAGGTTTGGCTTCTCCTGAGGCCTTTCTCCTTGACTTGCATGGCCACCTTCTCTCTGTATCATCACGTGGTCTTTTCCCTGTACACACATATTCCTGGTGTCTCTCTTCTTACTAGTCATATTGGATTCAGGCCTTACCCTGTGACCTTATTTCACCTTAGTAACCTTTTTAAAGATTCTATTTTCAGCCACAGTCACATCAAGGATTAGGGCTTCATTGTATGAATTTTGGGAGTATAAAATTCAGTCCATAACAGTGACAATAATTTTAAAACTCTCCCCCTTTTCACATGTATATACACATTTACACACATATGGTTATACTTTTGCATTTTCATACATTGAATTGTATATAATGTACTTTTTTTAATTTTTGAAGTTTCTATGTCTTATAGTCTTATTTTTGGCCTCTCCCTTCTTTTCTTTGCCTGACCAACACATATTGATAACTAATGCTAATAATTCTATGTGTTTATTTTCATATTTTACAAGCATATCTAATAAAATCAAAGGGCTTTTTGACATTGCTTACTTTTCCGCAACTTGCACTTCCTACATAACAAAGCATGGTAAAAGTTTATCCTAGTCTACAAGTAAAACTCTAACCCACTCCTTCTAATGGATGCCTAACATTCTGTGTAATTGAGGTACTGCAATTTATTTAGTCATCTCCTCCTTAATTGGCATTAATTTCATTTTTAATTAGTTGCTATCACCAGCTACATAGCACTAGACACATCTTTAAATGGTAGAGAGATAACTTATTTAGGATAGATTCCCAAGGGTTGTATCACTGGGTTGAAGATTAGGTATATATTTAAGTTTTACAGATCCTGCTGAATTGCTTGTTTAAAGTCTATAACAATTCATGTTTCTACAATTATGTGAGTGTACACTTCCCCTAACATTTACACCAGCAGAAAGAATTATCACTAATTTTACTATCTGCCAATCTGAAGGAGATGAAAACAAGAGCTCACTGTTACTTTAATTTTCATTTCCCTGAACACAGTGAGACTGAGTATAAATTTACTGGTAATTTTCTTTTGTATGAATTGTGTTTTTATATTTATTTTCCATTTTCCATGGTATCATTAATGCTTTTTTATCATTTTGTAGGAACAGTTTGTATTTTATGGCTATTGTTCATTTACCATTTATATGTATGCAAATGTATCTCCCAATCTATTCTTAAAATTTTGTTTATTCGGTAGAAATGCTTGCAGTTTCCTTTGTCTAAATTTGTTATATGCCTGGTTTTTGAAAAAGAAATGCTTTAAATAAATGAATATAAAAAACCTCAAGGTACTTTTATGATTATAGAAGCTATTTGTCGCTTACAGTTCACCAATATTATCAATATTATCTAGCAACTTTGAATGATCAAAAATGAATTTTAACAATTTCCTTTAATGTTTTCCAATAACACTACTATATTTCTTTTTAAAATTTTAGACACATCAAAAGTTTATGTTTATCAGCTCTGATCTGTAAAAGACATTAATTTATTCCTTCCCACGGAGTGCTGAGTGGACAGTTGTTATCCACTCACTCCATTGCTATAGAGTATATATTACTACACTGATTTACAGTAATTAAGTTATTTAAGAACCTAACTGACTGCAGTTATTTGTTCTAAAATCAGCATGGACCGAAGCTCTTAATTATTTCCACTGTGCCTAATAGCAGCTCCAAAGGCTCTAACTGCAATCAAAAAGCATATGTAATGAACTAGCCAAAGTGACACTTTTATGATGCATATTAAATGCAATGAAAATGTAAGAGTTGGAGACTTAAAAGAATGAACAGAGGGAATATGGTAAATTAAGGATCCCCACACCATTGCTGATTTCCACATTACGCATTTGTCAAATTAAAGGAATAAAATTAGTATTGCTTAGCTATGCAGCAATTGAGGAAGCTGATATGAACTCATAAATCTGTGAAGGGCACAAAATTCAATGAAAATATATTATTGAGCACAATTGTGAGATGAGTTATAATTAGAAACATTAAGAGGACACTTATTATAAAATCTGATGGATGTGTGCAAAGTTCCAAACTTTTCTTAAGAGCTGTCAGCAAATTCATATTTTCAAGTTTTCTGAAAAAGCCTGGAAATCACACAGACAGAAAGGCAATAGACTCAATGTAAGAACACAGGCTTTGGAGAAACAGAAAACTGAAAATTCGGCTGTGATCTACCATTTGGTTATTGTGTAACATTAGGCAAGTTACCTAGCCTTTCGGGGCCTCGGTTTCTTCACTCACAAAAATAGGATAGTAATAGTTTTTTCCCTTCATGGAATTGTAATAAACATTAAATGAATAATATTCATGTGAAGTGCTCAGCACAATGCTTAACACATAGAGCTCAATAAATGACACCTGCCATTACTAAAGTAACACCGGGGTTGTTGGGGTTTTTTTCAAATTCCAGAAACACACTCTTAGCCAAATCAGGAATATGATAGCACTTACTAGATCCATGTTATATTCTGCAATTCTAAAATCTTTAAGAAAGGAGTGATCCAATGTACAACTATTTTATCATTTAAATTCATTAATGATTTCCTCAACAGATGAATGGATAAAGAAATGTGGATACATACACACACATGTCTACGCACACAACAGAACACTATTCAGTCTTAAAAAAGAACATCGGTCGGGTGCGGTGGCTCACGCCTGTAATCCCAGCACTTTGGGAGGCTGAGGCGGGTGGATCACGAGGTCAGGAGATCGAGACCATCCTGGCTAACACGGTGAAACCCCGTCTCTACTAAAAATACAAAAAATTAGCCAGGCGTGGTGACGGATGTCTGTAGTCCCAGCTACTCGGCAGGCTGAGGCAGGACAATGGCGTGAACCCGGGAGGCGGAGGTTGCAGTGAGCCGAGATCGCGCCACTGTACTCCAGCCTGGGCTACAGAACGAGACTCCATCTCATAAAAAAGAAGAACATCCTGTCGTTTGTGACATGGATCAACCTGGAGGACATTTTGCTAAGTGAAATAAGCCAAGCACATAAAGATAAATGTCATGGGATCTCACTTATGTGAGCAGTCTTAAAAAGTCCACTCATAGAAGCAGAGAGTAGAACTATAATTGCCAAGGGCTGAGGGGGATGAGGGTAGGGGAATAAAGAGATGTAATTTAAATTTAACAACGACTTCGTTTCAGTTAGAATGAATAAATTCTTAAGAGCTATTGTATAGCATGGTAACTGTAGTTAATAATACCATATTGCATGCTTGAGAATTGCTAAGAGATTAGATCTTAAATGTTCTTACCACAAAAAAAGATAAATATGTGAGGTGATGATATGTTAATTAGCTTGAGTTAATCATTTAATAATGTATACATATATCAAAATATCACATTCTACACAGTAAGTATATATAATTTTTGTCAATTATACCTTAAAAACAAAAAAATAAGAAAAAACATAAGGTTTTATGATCTTTGTAGTTTAATAACACCACACTTAGCACAAATCAAGGGCTTAGTAAATTTTGGTGGGTTTTATTCTAAATAAATCATAATTCATCAATGCTTTATAATGAAATAGTCCTTCATAATTTTATAAATTTCTATTAGGAAAATATGCCAAGACTAATGCAAGAACATATTTTACATTTATCTCAGGAAATTCAGACATGCAAAGATACGTTGGGAATTCCACAATTTTATCTGCTTAAATATAAATATGCCATTTAGTTATTATAAAACATTCTGGATCCCTCCATTTTCTTTATCCCCCATCCAACCAGTTACCAGTTCCCAAATATTTCGGACTTCACCCACTACTCTCCAACTCCACAGCTACTTCCCAGTTTAGGCAGTCACCTAGATTTCTATAATTGTCTCCTTAACTAGTCGTCCCTCCTTCGCTTCCCTCTCTCATATCAATTTTATGTGTGGCAGCTGGTGTGATCTTTCTAAAATGTATGTCACTTCTCTCTTTGAAACCCTTGAGGGGCAGCTATTTTCCTCAGATAAAATTCCAAAGTTATTAGCATGGTATATAAAGCCTTTTTGGCAAGTCATGCTGTACTTATGTCATATCCATTGCCACTTCCCACCCATACACCCTGTCCCAAATATAAATTACACACCGGTTGCAATCAACTACTTTAACTTTTCAAACATGCCATTCTTTCTAACATAGTCATTTTCCTCCACCTGAAGCACTTTTTTCCTTCTTCTCAGCTGGTTAACACCTACTCATATTTCAGGTCTCAGCTTAGAAGTCACTTAAAAAAAAATCTTTCCAGATCCCCTAAATTTGGATTATGTCCTGTCTTTAAGTGATTACAGCAATCTACGCTTTATTTAATCATTTATTCATGCAAGAAACATTTGAAGGCTTATTACTTACCAGACTCTGTTCTAGGCACCAGGATATGTTCATGCAGATAAAGCCTAAGCTCGCCAAGAACTTATTAATGGAGTGGGCAGAAAACTAAAGAATAAATAATTAATATATATAAAATGGGAATAAGTTTCTTGGACAAGAAAGAAATCAGAACAAGAGGAATAGAATGTGTTAAGTTGGGGTGTGATGTTATCTTATAGGGTGTCAGGGAGAGCCTCAAAGAGAAGACGACATTTGAATAGAGACATGAAAGAATGAAGCAGTGAGCAAAATGAGTTTTGAGGAAAGGAAGTTACAGGCAATGGGAAGAGCATATTGGTATGGCCTTCAGGTGGTGAAGTGCTTGGCTGCTTGGCTTATTTGAAGGATAACAAGGAAGCTAGTGAGGCTGGAGCAGAGTAAGCAAGGGAGAGGAAATTAGGTCAGAGAGATGGGGGGCGAGTGGGAGCTGCAGATCATCTGGGGTCCTGGAAGCACTGTAAGGCCTTTAGATACTCCACTCCATGAGGGCAGAAGAAGGAGTGTATGAGGAAAGCACCTAACCTGACTTGTGTTTAAAAGTAGAGCATAGCAGCAGCTGTGGAAGCAGAGAGACCAGTTAGCTTACTGCAATACACAGGGCAAGAGATGATGGTGGTTTACACCTGACTCCAAATAGCAAGAAGAGGTCAGATTCTGCATATATTTTGAAGGTAGGATGAACAGAATTTACTGATAGATAGGGTGTGAGGTGTGAGAGACAAAAATCAAGGTTGTCTCTAAGTTTTCTGATCTGAGTAACTAGAAGGATGGAATTCCCATTTCTAAAAGGGTGAACACTGCAAAAGAAGGAGAAAGCATGGGAGAAGCATAGAATGTAGAATTGAATATCTAATAGTATTCAAGTGACATCAATTAAGCAGTTGTGTAAACAAAGAGATTTCCAGGATGGATGTTCGTTGGAGAGTCAGCAGCAATCCTAGAAGAGATTACCCAGGAAAGGAGTAGAAACAGAAAAGAGATGAAGCCCCGGGACTGAGCCCTTATTTAGGAAGATGCAGAGAAACCCATAAAGGGGACATAAAAGACATGGCTGGTAAAATGAATATAGGGAGACTGATATCCTGAAGGCTATGTGAAGAAAGAATTTTTAAGTCGGAGAGAGTGATCACTATGTCAAATGAACTTAATAAGTCAAGTAAGGTGAAAACTACGAAACAACATTTAATTTGGCAACATGGAGGTCATTGGTGATGTTTATAAGAGCCATTTTGGTGGAGATGTACAGCCAAAAGATAATTAGATAGGAAAGAACAATAAGAGGGAAAGGTGAAGTTAATTTATTGACCACCTTTTCTGATGAACCTTGTTCTAAAGAGACATACAGATAGAAGTGGCTGGAGGAAACTGTGGGTTCAAGAAAAAGTTTCTCTTTAAATAAGGGAGTTAATGAAAATGTTTATGTGCTAATGGGAATAAATGAATGAATATTCTGTAGCAACAGGACCATTTTCAAGATTTACCAGTGACCTAATATCCAATATGTGTGGTGTGCTTAAATACAATATTCTGCCACTGACTTTTAGGTACTAAGGTTTTAGTTGCAGAACAATAATAAGAAAAACAAAAATAACAACAACAAAAAAGACCAGACATATATAGTTTCAAAGATTTGTATCCATTTTATTAACACAAGGATAAAATCATTCATTTTCCAACATTAAGGCAACATATAGATTTCACCTCCACTATCAATCTCTTTAAAGCTGAATGAATAATGGAACTGATGTGCTCTATTTTGTCTTTCACAGTTTTTTATTATCTACATCAATGACTAAGGGAGAGGAAGAAATCAAAGAAAAAGGAAAACCGTGATGTAAATAACCATTTATCTGGTTTTATAATGCTTATCTTTTTTCAAGAGCCTTCTTAATGAGTAGCTTATCATTTTATATGAAAGCCAATACAAATGTCTTTCTGAGAACCCATATGGCTTGCTTCTCTAGGAACAAGGGTGGGAACAATAGGGGCATGTGAGACTGGGAATAACTCAGGTAATAAAACCACAGAATGACAACCATAACCCCAACAATAACAATTTGCACTGACCAAATATCTGAATATTTATTCCACACAATGATTGGTGCTTTCCAAGCATTGTCTCTAACTCTTGAAAAGAAATCCTAACTACGTATTATCATCTTCATATAAAAGATGAAGAAGCTGATACTTGCAGAGAATAAACAATTGACTAATACTCCAATTGACTGAGATATAGAACTGAGATTCAAACTCAGGACTGCTTTGTACCAGAACTCACCTCTTTCCAACACATCATGCTACCTCTCTACTATCAATTTTCTACAATTAAGTAGGTTAAATCTACATATAATTCTAAAAGAGATCACTCTTCATATTTTTCCTACTGTCTATATTCCCCCAAAAGCTGTTCTACCATTATTGCAGATGACCATTAAACAATTATCTCAACCCCGAACAATATAGCTATCCTTCTATGTTTCCATTGCCTCAAAGACTGTAGCCTAAAGGCAACTCTGCCTTATTCTTCTCCTATACAAAACCATGATGCCTAAAAGGTTATATAAATTAGAATCTTATGGGTATGCTATGTACTGTCTCTTTAATGATTCTGAATTTTCCTTGGTTACATAATTGCATTCTGAGAAAATGTAAATGCTAAATGTTAACAAGCATCATATTGCTGTGACAACAAAAGGCATTTTTTGATATCTTTGGTGACAATGAGAGAAGTTGCAAAGTTGGAAAAGGAAGGTCTGAGTGGAGTCTTTTATAGGGATATAAAAGTTAAATGACAGAGCCCTCTATAATCCTGCCAAAATATAAATTCTTGAGTATATTAAAGACTAAAAGCTTCATCTTTATAAAACTGACAAAATACATCAGACTTTAATTGGCAATAGAGTGATAATGGAAAGGAAATGTGGCTTAATTGGAGTTCTCTCCCTGAAAAGGCAGAGCTTAGTAGTGTCATTTTAATTATTTCTAGCCGTTAATCCTGCAATCATCTATTATATTCTCCATATACTACACCAGGAAGCACTCCCTGCTGTAAATACTATGATATTTAAAAAGCAAATGCCTAGTAAAAACAAAAAGACCCAGTCTGGATTCATTGTCTCAGCAACTGCTCTGGAGAACCATAAACTCACTTTTAAATCATTAGTGGTCAGGATGACAAATGTGGCTAATTAAATTATTAACAATAGCATTCTTGATTCAGATGCCATTTAATCATTACTTGCATCTGTTGCATTTATTAACCAATTAAGCAGTTAATGTGATACTTAAGGTGTTTCCCTTCAATATGAGTCTTTGATTTTTTTCTATACTGCTTTTATACAGCTGTATAAACATATCACAAAAACATACTACAATAATGAGCACCAGCGACAAATGTAACTGGCAGTCTTTTCAAAAATGAGAAGTACTATAAGAAAAAAGATAATCTTAAGACTTCCATGAACCATTTTAAGTACAAACACAGCAATTACTTTTTTTTTCTTTTGTTTTTCAATGTTCCGTAGACTCATTTATACGGTAGATTCTTTTTCAATTTTTATTGCATGTGACTACATAGAATGTGTAAGATTTGGGAGGTATACCTAATGTTGGATGACGAGTTAATGGGTGCAGCACACCAACATGGCACATGTATACATATGTAACTAACCTGCACGTTGTGCACATGTACCCTAAAACTTAAAGTGTATTTAAAAAAAAATCTGAGTAAGATTTTAATCTACACTGAAATCCATGCACTTTTCTAATTTGGGGATTCCAATTTTACCTACCGTTTTTCAGACTTAATTTAAATTTAATTTACAAATACTTAAATGTGGCCGGGAATGGTGGCTCACACCTTTAATTCCAACACTTTGGTAGGCCAAGGCTGGATGATAATTGGAGGCCAGGAGTTTGAGACCAGCTTGGGCAACATAGCAAGACCCCTGTTTCTATTTATTTTCTTAAAAGAAAAAAACCTTAACTTTATATTTCACCATTTTTAAAAGTAAAATTTTCCAATTTATATCTTAACTTCCAATCATAATTTTTATGTCTTACACTGTAAACTTAAAATCAATAAAGAAATCATTGCAATCTAGCTCAGAAATATGCCAAAAAGTAATTTCAATGGGAGATTAATGTAGCCTCAAAATTGTAATTATCCTAATTTTGCAAATTCCATATCATTCCTCCAGTTCTTTTTATAGAGATTTCCAGATTACAAGTCTCTGAAATTTAATTAAAAATTAATGATTATTGGGTTGCATTCAGTTGACCAATTTTTCCCACTACTTCCAAAGCAAATATATATTTCAATATGTTCATACCATAGCAGATTACGAAATATATATTGTTGATGGTGATTTGAGTTCCTTTTTAGGAAGGGCACATAATATTGAATTCAAAACACATTTGCAAGAACCTATCTAAATAGGACCATCCTCAATTTTTTTTTTCCTAAGAACTCTACTTTTAGGGGAAAAGTATTAGGAAATTTATTTTAAAATCCAATTGCCAAGATAGCTGCTGATGGAAGTAAAAAGTCAACTTAATCTTCTACGTATGTGTCTTCTAGAAAAGAAAAGATGTCTAGACATGAACTTTACACATGAAAAATTATTCAGTAGAGGCAAAATTGAGTTATACTCAAAAAATTGAGGCACAAAAGTGAAATCATCTTAGGGAGATTATCAACCACCAGTACTGAAGACAAAAAGGGTATTTCTGGCCAACTAATCACTATGAGGGAATAAAGTAGTAATTAAGAGTATGTGTTCTGGAATCTGATCACCTGAGTTCAAAGTCTGACCCACCACTTACTAGCTGTGTACACTTACTGAGAAGATAAATTTCTCTCTATAACAATTTTCTCATCTGTTAAAGAGGATAATAATTATCCCTACTTTATACAATAGATATGAGGATTAAATGGGATAATAAATGTATAATATTTCCTGGCATATAGTAAATATTCAACACAGTTGCAATACTTTAATATATTTTAATAATTAATGTTATAATTTTTTTATTCAAACAGCTCATTCTGTGTGAATTCTGACTACCTCAACCCAGTGTGGTTGTACTTGCTGGCCTATCCACAATTCATGCTTTTAATTGCTTTTAAATTTTTAATCAGTTTCTAGTGCACTAATTTTGTGGTCATAAAATATTAGAGCTGAAGAAATAATCAGCTTAGAAATCTTAGAAAAAGATGTAGAAATAATATTATTCGAAGAGATCTTAGAAATAATCTCACTCAAATTTTGTCATTTTCAAGGCTCAGAGAGTTTGTTACATGCTCAAAGTCAAACAGCAAACTTAAAACATTATAGAGATGCATAGAATATTAATGCATCTGGAATACAGATTATTGGGAGCTTCCTAAATGTTTTCTTTGTTAAGATTCTCTTATTGCAAAAAATTAGATCAACAAATCTGGCCTTAAAGAAAATTTCTGTAGACTGTATTTTCTATTTAGCCATTAGTTCTTTTATTCAAATTTTTATTTTTTAAATTATAAATGGACAAATTATAGTTTTATATCTCTATGGGGTATAATGTGATGTTACAATTTATGCATATAATTAGAAAGATTTAATCCAGTTAATTAACTTATTCTTTTTTGTGGTGAGAACATTCAAAATTCACTCTCTTACAAATTTCATAATGTACATTATAATCTACTGTATTTACCACACTGTGCAATGTATCTTAAAATAATCAAATTTATTTCTCCTATTTGAGTCTTTGTATCCCTGTACCATCATCTCCCCTGTTACCCTCCTCTCCAGCCTCTAGTTACCACTGTTGTACTCTCTGCTTCTTTAAAATTGATTTATTTAGATTTCAGGTATAAGTGAGATCATGCAATATTTATCTTTTTGTGTCTGGCTTATTTCATTTAGCATGATATTCTCCAGGTTTATCCATGTCGTTGCAACTAACAAAACTCCTTTCTTTCATTAAGTCTGGATAGTATCCTATTGTGTATATATACCACATTTTCTTCATCCATTCATCTGTGATGGCTGCCTAGGTTGATTCCAGAACTTAGCTGTTGTGAATAGTGCTGCAATGAACATGGGAGCTCAGATATCTCCTCCACATACTGACTTCAAATCTTTAACTTAGAAGTACAATTGTGAATAATATGGTAATCCTATTTTCAGTTTTTTGAGGAACCTCCATAGAGCTTTCCATAATGGCTGTACTAATTTATATTCCCACTAAGAGTATACAAGCATTCTCTTTTCTCCACACCCTTGCCAGCACTTCTTATCTTTCATCTTTTTGAAAATAGCCATTTGGATAAATGGAAAGTAGTATTTCATTATGGCTTTGATATGAATTTCCCTGTTGATTAGTGATGTTGAGCATTTTTTTAATATACCTATTGGCCATTTGTATGTCTTCTTTTGAGAAATGATTGTTTGGATCCCTAACTTAACTTTTAATCAGATTATTTATTTTCTTTCTGTAGAGTTGAATTACTTATATATTTTGGATATCAACCCCTTATCAGATGTATTGCTTGCAAGTATTTTTTCCCAATCTATAGGTTGTCTCTTCACTCTGTTCTTTCCTTTGTTTTGCAGAAGCTTTTTCGTTGGATGTAATTCCATTTGTCTATTTATAGTTTTGTTGCCTGAGCTCTTGGAGTCAAATCTAAAAAATCATTACCCAGACCAATGTCTTGTAGTTTTTTCTCCGATGTTTTCTTATAGGAGTTTTACAGTTTTAAGTCTTATGTTTAGATCTTTAATCCATATTTGACCTGATTTTTGTGTATGGTATGAGATAAACATTTAATTTCATTCTTCTGCATGTGAACATCCAGTTTTCCCAACACCACTTGTTGAATAGACTATCCTTTCCTATTGTGTATTCTTCACACCTTTGTTGAAAATCAGCTGATCATACCTCTCTGGGTTCATTCCTAGGCTCTCTATTCTGTTCCATTTGTTGATGAGTTGATTTATACACCAGTATCCTGCTATTTTAATTACCATCACTTTGTAGCTTGAAATTGGGTAGTGTGATGCCACCAGCTTTGTTCTTTTTGCACGATTGCCTTGACTATTTGAGCTCTTTCATGGTTCCATGTAAATTTTAGTATTTTTTTCTATTTCTATAAAAAAAAAGACATTGAAATTTTGATAAAGATTGCATTGAACCTATAGGTCACTTTGGATGGCATGGACATTTTAATAATATTAATTATTCTAATACATGAACACATGATATCTTTACATTTATTTGTGTCTGCTCCAGTTTCTTTCATTAATGTTTTAAAGTTTTCAGTATACATAATTCTTTTTTTATACTTATGAATTTATATTTATGAAAATATTGGCTCATAACACATTTTAATGCCTTTTTTCATTCCAAAAGTAGGTTATGAATATTGGAAAAAGAGAAAGAATTTTCCCATTGTCTGCCTCCACTTCCACTCCTCAGACATAATCACTATAATAAGAATTTGGTGTGCATATTTCCAAATATTTTTCTGCACTCTTTATTTAAATAAATTTTAAGTACCTTTTCTAGGCCAGGATTTGTTTTACAAAGAAGGGCCAACTAAGGGAATGTCAGATAATATGTGTTAATATTATATGTTCATGGCTTGACCATCTTTCTTCTTTAATCATTTTTTCATCTTTTCAATGTAATAAAGATAAAATAGTTTAATTTATAATGGGAAGAGTTTGACTAGGTATGGAGAAGGGCTGGGTAAAAGTGTTATATATATATATATATATATATATACACACACACACATATATACATATATATATGTACATACACACACATATATATACTAAAAATGGGTGCATATTATAAAGTGAGAGCCAAACTATAAAGACCATAACTTGTAAAAATAAATTATGTGCTTATGAAAGGAACATAAGTTTATAATCACTCCAATGCACTTCATCAGACATTTAATAAACACTCAACTGTTCTGTTAGTACCAGGACAATAAACAGGAAGAAAATAAAGCATAAAGGAGTACCCACTCCCACAAAATGAATTTACCAACATCAACTTGATTAAAAGAAAAAATTCTGCATAAATGCAAAGCTGTATAAAATGGATTATTGTATGGCCTAGAAAATTCACTGGCTAAAAGGAAGCCAGCTGGAAACTGGGCACTTGAATTGACACTCTTGCCTGATTTCAAATTTCTTCAGCAAAAGAAGCTGGATCCCAAGAACACCCTTTAAATATCCCAAGCTACGAATGCTTGCAGAACAGAGAACAGACTTCAGTTTGCCTTTATTTTAGCAATGAAAGAAAAAAGTTACACCTGAAAGTCAAGGTAATTCTCATTTTAAAGGCATACACATAAACATACATAAACTGTGTACATTTGCTTTTATTGAAATGCAACATCTATGAACTATTTTAATTAGTTACATAATGCAGTATTTGCCAAAGACAAACAAAAGTATCCTTTCTGAACATCTATGTTTTATTTTCTCCCTCTAAGATTTCAATTCAAATATGTGACCTTATAAACCACAGAATCCCATGGTTCTCATTTAACTCAGGAAGAGAAAGCTTTAGAAGGTATACCAGCATTTCATAGAGTTAATAAATATTTTAAAGCAGTGGATTCACGTATAGTTTTATGAATTGCGACACTTGAAGCAAATGATTTCTCAATGTCAGCAAGTATTTTTAGGGGTTTTTGATAAATTGCTCTAACAAAACAGTTTTCAAGTGTTATGAAATAGGGAACTTTACCAAATATCTTCTAAGAGTTCTCCTTGATGCTATTCTTAAAAAGTTGATATGCCCAAACTTTAAAAGACAGTGGAATCAACACAAATAACAGTATTAAATCTCTTGGTTTCACGAAAAAGCAAGTGACCCCAACAAGGCCTTATGCAGCCAGGGTTTTTTTTAATCCAATTGATTATCATTCAACATGCATTGTCTTTTAGACCATTGGTATTAGATCATAAATTTAGGCATTGCTACATTTAATGAAACAATGATTTCTTTATAATTGGTGAGATCAATGCCAAAATAATTCACAACAGTTGTTTCGCTACTCAAAAGCAATAAAGATGAAAAAACCTGTAGTGGTTATGCAGTATTATTTAAATAAAACAAGGAACACTAATTTTCAAAGCACTCAAGATGCTCGGAGATCAGGTTCTCTCCCACCATGAGATTACCATCTCCTGTTACATTCCTCCCTGCCTCTTATGTTGAAACCACTCCCAGGCATAGCTGTTCCTCCCTCTGATCCACCAATCCTGCAGTGTATTGTTTGCCTTTGCTAATGTAGTTTCTGTGTCAAAAAAAAAATGCAGTTACTTCCTTCTCCACTTTTTTTTTCCTGAATTTTTTCTGTAAAGCTTAAATGAAAGTGCCATCCCCTCCATGAGACTTTCCCAAATTTCTTTCTCTGCCTCCTGGTTCTAAGGATAAAAGCTCATTTTTTTCTCCATGAATCCACAACACTTTGCTCATGATTGTCTTCAGACATGCTGAGAATTTCTTTATAAAAAATCCTCAGTAAAATATGTTTTATCTTTTTAAATGGGGTGGGTAAGACTAGTCATGACAGTTACTGGTTTATCTCCTTTGAATTGCACAACATTTCAGCCCATATGCATTATAGATTGGACAGGTAAGTGACAAAGAAAGATGAGAACTAACATTTCTTAAGCATGAACTTTGTTAATAGTATATCTATTAATAGCTAGGATATGACTTAACTATTAATAGCTTTTCATATATATTAACAATTTTAACCCTAAAAATAACCCTATGTGTTAGATTCCATTATGCACATTTTCCAGACTAGAACATTGAAAATCAAGGAGTCACTTGCTTTGCTTAATCCAGTGGTAAATCTGAGCTGCTGTTCAAATGATTTAAAGTGTAAATCACCTTAGTGAAGGTTAATATGCAGTACAGCATAGCAATTAAAAACAGGAGTAAGCCAGGTGCAGTGGCTCATGACTATAATCCCAGCACTTTGGAAGGCTAAGGCAGAAGAATCACTTGAGGCCAGGAGTTCAAGACCAGCCTGGCAACATAGTGAGACCCTGTCTCTACAAAAAAGTTTTTTAAATTAACTGGATGAGGTGGTGCACGACTGTAGTCCCAGCTACTCAGGAGGCTGAGGTGGGAGAATCACTTGAGCCCAGGAGATTGAGACTACATGATCACATCACTGCACTGCACTACAGTTTGGCTGACAGAGTAAGACCCTGTCTCAGAAGTAAAATAAAATAAAATAACAAATAAAAACAGGTCGGAGAATAATATTAGCAAGATGGTAGAACAGAAGGCTCTGGACTCTCCTTCCCTCCATGGACACACTGACTCAATGGCGACAGAGATTAATTCTCATTATGAGAAACGTAGCAACTGTCTGAGAGTCTCCTGTACCTTGAGTGAGTGCAAAACTGCCCACATTAGGAAAAACTTGGACATACTCTCACCAAAATCCCCACTCCTGGTACAGGGCCATACAGTCAGGAGGGAATTTCTTAGTTTTTTTTCTGAGGAGTGAAGGGTTTTGACCACGTATTCACTGCCCCAACTTTTCTGGCTGATACCCAAGGATATGGCTTCTAACTTGCCTGTATTTGAGAACTAATGGGGCTTGGGATACCGAACGCATGGGGGCTGCAAATAACAAAGATGGTGGTTTGGACTAGCATAAAGTTTTGAGAGGCCCAGGATCTCTGGCCAGGTTGATTGATCAGGGTCTTCCACTGTACAAGTCCAGTTTGTGAAGACTGGGAACAGCAGATATCTTGTCTAATTCATAGACACCAACACAGAAAGTCAAGAAAAATGAAGAAACAGGAAAATATGTTCCAAATAGAAGAATTAGATCCAAAAGAGGGGGTTCAAAAGCAGTCTAAATCAAGGAGAAGAAATAATCAATGACCTCAAAGATAAGCTATTGAAAATTAATCAGTCAGATTTTCAAAAACAGAAAAAAAGGGGGGTAAAGATGATAGCTAAAGGGACATGTGGGACACTATCATGTGGACCAATGTACACATTATGGGAATTTCAGAAGGAGAAGGAAAGAAAAAGGACAAGACAGCTTATTTAAAAATAATAACAATGAGTAAAAATCTCCAGAATCTGAGAAAGAACACAGATATCAAGATTCAGGAAGTCTAAAAGTAGGTGTGATTTTTGAAAGCAAACAAACTTAGGTTTGATCCCAATTCTGCCACTTCAGAGCTAAGAAATCTTAGGCAAGTTTATATATCCCATTTAGATTCAGCTGCTCCAACTGTGCTATAAGGTCATTATCATTACCAACCTCTCAGGGGTTTTATGGAGGGTATTAAATACTGGAAACCATTAGCACAATACACATAATATAATGTCCAGCCCATCTACTTAAAATTATGCCAAGTTTCCTTCTTATAAAACTTTACAAGAGAAGTTGCTGTCCTAAAGAATGATTCATTGTTTATGTTAAGTATGAGGATTTTAAAGGACTGGGATCTATAAAGTTATAGAACACAGGCCATCTTTCTTACCAGTTCCTGCCCTATAACCTCCTTCTGACTTCTTAAACCAAAGTAAAAACTTCTTTTAGGGTTAAAATAAAGACTGGGGAAAGCAGAATGAAAAATAAGACACATGCATCTCTAAGAGATAGAGCAGGGGCTGAATTTATTCGAACTGGTTTTATGATTTTTGTTAAGCTTTCACTCCTTATAGAGTTTAGTTCTTTGCTCATAATAAGGAGGATTCCTCAGTAATCCAGAAGTTCAGACTTTTAGAACCACATTTACCATAGGCAAGTTTAAACAGAAAGTAGCCCAGCAAAGAGTAGCCAAGCTCCAAACACAATTTCCTCACAAAATTCTCCAACTCCTAGGATAGTAAATAAGAGGAGACATCAGAGGTTGTCACCATGCCACAAGATTAATCTACCACTAAAGAAGCTACCAAGTTTAATCCAAATGATTAAAATGTGCTCATGCCACCAATGCAAAACTGTTCAGCTTGTGAGGCTTAGTTGTTATTGAAACTCCTGAATGATGCCTTTCCATCAGCTTGTGACTCTGATCCTATTTGACTTCAAGAAAATCCTTTAACTGTTCTGCTCCCTGCTTTATCTATGATCTTCCATTTTACTAGGATCTTATTGATCTTATGGGCAATAATGAAATTGTCCAGTTTATATCTTGGATTTCTCCTTAAAAACCACAAATTACATTTTAAATATAAAATATGTTTGTATTTTCTAATTATATGCGGTAAGACAAATGAATTTTAATGAAATGAAAAATTACAGATGTCATAGCACATTAAAGAGAATACTTCTAAGAAGCAGAAAAAATATGCCATACTTAACAATGTAGTTAATAAAGAATAACTAAACTTAAAATGTTTCATTCTTTCTTTATAGTATTAAAGGAAATATTTTTATGAAGAAGATAGCTGGTTGGATTTATTCACATTTCTACCTATTTAATCATGGTCAGAGTCTGTTTTTCACTCTCCACTGTGAAATATTCATTTCTCCAAACACCATTTGAAACATAAACCATGACTGGGCTAAAGCCTTTTCCCTACCATTATCTGCTATATCCGAGTTTAAGTTATTCAGCAGCTATCACATTAATTATGTCTATCTGTTACATTATTCCCATAAGTCCTATAGACGTGCTTTGAAATGGAGCATTCATTTTGTATTTATGCATATTTTATTATGTTACTGAACATTTTATTAAAGAAAAGCAATCATACGAATTGACTTTTATGATAAATAACTTAATATTCACAGTCCTTCCCATATGTTTCCTTAGTCTTGCTTATTTTCATAATGTTATTTGTTGGAGAATAGAAAAACTGCTGCTTATCCAAATTGCCAATCTTCTGCTACCTTTGCCACATTTTACTGCTATTGTTTCCCATACGATATTGTATTGTGTTATTTTTCATACAAATTCTCACTTGAAGCTAAAATGAGGTTGATAGATATAACTTTTAAAATATGATTCAGTTATTTACAGCATAAACAAATTACAGAGAAATATAAAATGACCAGTTGATTCTATCTGGGGGAGCATTTTAGACATACAATGCCTCCTAAACATTTCTTCAACAGCAGAAATGGCAAAAAACATTATACACATGTATAACACATATATACATTACATAAGATTATACAAAGGCCCTTCAAAAAGGTTGTGGAAAAATATCAAAAGATAAAATTTAAAAATACAAATTTTATTTCTCAGCATAAGCTCTATCAAGTTCAAAACATTTTGCTCAGTAATGATACCAGACATTTGGTCCATCCATAAAGAACTGAGGGTCTCAAAATTTTAACCAAGTCAATGTAGTATTTTTTACATTATTAACTGAAGAAAAATTAGCATCTTTTAAAAACTATATAAAATTAGGAAACAAAGAGAAGTCAGAAGGAGCCAAATCAGGACTGTAAAGGCTGCCTAATTTCTCACCGAAACTCTTACAAAATTCCCATTTGATGAGAATAATGAGCAGAAGCATCATCGTGGTAGAGAAATGTTAGTGGTGGCAGAGTTAGGAGTTACCCCAAGTTACCAGCGGTATATTCTTCCGGGTCCACAGCAACTTCCATCCTTGCCTCCTCAAAAGAACAAATTCGGCCAGCACGGTGGCTCACGCCTGTAATCCCAGCACTTTGGGAGGCCGAGGTGGGTGGATCACGAGGTCAGGAGTTCGAGACCAGCCTGGACATCATGGTGAACTCCCGTCTCTACTAACAATACAAAAATTAGCCAGGCCCAGTGGCGGGCACCTGTAATCCCAGCTACTTGGGAGGCTGAGGCAGGAGAATCACTTGAACCCGGGAGGTGGAGGTTGCAGTGAGCCAAGATCACACCACTGCACTCTAGCCTGGGCAACAGAGCAAGCCTCCATCTCAAAAAAAAAAAAAAAGAAAGAAAGAATTCGACTGAGGGGCATAGAGAAGAAAAAGAGTCTGAGGCAAGTTTCAGAGAAGAAGTGGAAGTTTATTTAAAAGTCTTTAAACAGGAGAGAAAGGAAAGCACCCTGCGAGGAGATCCAAGTGGGCGTCTGAAGGTCCAAGAGAAAAAATGGGCAGAGAAAAAGCACCTTTAACCTTGATCCTAGCACTTTGTATCTCCCTTCTTTCCCATGATTCTTCCCTGAGGATGGGCTTTCTGCATAGCGCAGTGCCCTCCTTACCTTTGGAAATTGAGCACGCACAGCACAGTGTGTTCAGGGAGTTTTATATGCATGCCTCTCTGAGGCTTTCTTCACTTTTCCGGTGGAGTGTGACCGGGAAGATCATACTTCACCATTTTTGTCTCTTAACAGGCATGCCCAGGAAGTTGCTTCTCCCTAAGGTCTGCTTTCAATTAGCATTTTTAATGTTAACAAGTGTAGACCATCAGGAGATTATCTTTCCTTGGCTGCCGAATTACTCTTGTTAGAGAGGCAATGTGATAATTGCCAAACCAGCACCTGACATTTCTAGTGGGTGTGGGGAAAGCCCTCCCCTGACCTGCTCATTGCCTTTCCAACTACCTGTAATGGTAAGTGCTCTATGTAGGTGTACCATTTTTTATCTTTTATTTCATATTCCCACTGTACCTTTTCTATGTTTAGATATGTTGAGATACACAAATACTTACCATTGTGTTACAGTTGCCTATAGTATTCAATATAGTAACATGCTATACAGGTTTGTAGCCTAGAAGCAAGAGGTTATACCATATAGCCTGGGTGTATAGTAGGCTATAGTATCTAGATTTTTGAAAGTATATTCTATGATGTTCACACAATGACAAAATTACCTAACAATACCTTTCCCAGAACAGATCTCTTTCATTAAGCAATACATGACTATACTAGTCAGGTATCTTTCTATACTGATAAAAAAAGAATTAGTAGGAAAACAAAAGCTAAATGAGTAATTAATTGATAAAGAAAAGGCTAAAGAAAGAATAGGAAGGGAATAAAAAAATTTTAAAGTAAAGTGTACAGTCTTCTTTTGCATTTAGAGGTAAGAGATAAGAGTAAATATAAATGAATAAATTTTATTTACAGAAATAAATGTTCTGCAACATAAGGAAATATGCATATAAAGAAAGGAAGTTAAGGAACTCAACAACCCATTTTCTATTTTAAAGAGAGGCATAGATAGACAGGCACATTGGCACATGCCTGGAATCCCAGCAATTCAAGAGGCTGAGGTGAGAGGATCACTTGAGCACAGGAGTTTGAGACCAACCCTTGGCAACAGTGCAAGACCCCATCTCTTGGAAAAATAATGTAAAAAGGCAAAGTTGCCTACTGAGATAGAATGAATTTGGATATTTACAACTAAGGCTGTGAATTGACAGCAGCACTAACTTTTATATTTGGGTGATTTCTTCAAGCCAATTTGTGACTCAGTGAATAATGTACAGGGTAGGTAGTTGGAAAAGACTTTGGAACTTAATGTTACAGCTCTTGTCATTTTAGTGGTTAAAGTCATTATGGAGGTCAGGTGGGTACAGAATATATAAAGCCATGAAGAATTGATGGCTCTGGAGAACAAGCAGTTCAACATTGGAGAGCTTCATGACGTTTCGTGATAGAACTGAAGAGATAGAAGTTGGCAGTGAGTGTTTGGTGTATCAGAATAGAAGACTTTAGACGTGATAGAACTATGAATGTTATAACTGAATTATGTCCGCTCAAAAGTTCACATGTTGAAGTTATGACTCTCAGTACATAAGAATATAACTGTATTTGGAGATATGGTCTTTAAAAAAGGTAACTTAAAATAAAGACATCAGGGTGGGCCCCAATCCAATATAACTGTCTTCCTATTAAGAGGAGATTGGGATGTAGATATGCACAGAGAAGGATCAAGGAAAAACACAGGGAGAAAAATGGCCATTTACAAGAACTAGGTTTTACTGTCTTAGTATTTCCGGTGTCCTCATAGTACCTACATATAGAAAGCGTTTTGCAAATTTAGTTAAGTTAAACTAAACAAACGACTCCTTTGAATATAAAAGACAGCATGCTTTATTTTCATATATAACCACAGAAATAATACATACTAAAATTGCTTATACAGTGGTCTTGCCGCCAACCACAGTATGAAAATATTAAACAGAAAATTCCAGAAATAATTCATAAGTTTTAAATTGCATACTGTTCTGAGTAGCATGATAAAACTTCACTCTGTCCCGCTTCATGCATCCTTTTGTCCAGCGGATCCATGCTGTAGATGCTCTTTGCCCTTTAGTAGCCATTGTGGTTATCAGATCGACACGATGTTGCAAAGCTGCCATTCAAGTAACCCTTATTTCACTCAAAAATGGCCCCAAAGTGTAAGAATAATGATGCTGGCATTTTGGCTATGCCAAAGAGAAGCCATAAGGTGTTTCCTTTAAGTGAAAACTGAAAGTTCTCAACTTAATAAGGAAAGAAAAGAAAAATCGTATGCCAAGGTTGCTAAGATGTACAATAAGAACAAACCTTCTATCCATGAAATTGTGAAAAGGAAAAATAAAATCTGTGCTAGTTTTGCTGTTGCACTTCAAACTGCAAAATGCCCACAGTGCATAAGTGCTTATTTACGATGAAAAAGTCATTAAATTTGTGAGCGGAAAACATGAACAGAATCCTGTTCTGACTGAGGGCAATTGGGTTCGGTATTATCTTCAATTTCAGACATCCACTGGGAGTCTTGGAACATCTCCCCTAAAGATAATAGGACACTGCTGTATTTATAAAGTTTATTATCTGAATTCCTCTTAGCAGCAAAGGTAGGCAACAGAGTTTGCAAACATACAATTTGCTATTATAAATTACAACAGAAGAATTGTTTAAAAGATGAGTTAGTATCATAACCATAAAAGCTATATGTATATTTATAATTTATTTTAACGGTAGAGGGAGGAAAAAATACAGAATGATAAAGTGGCATTTTCACTGTTGGCATGTCTCTAGGAACCTTTAATAATATGCCAAAGTAACAAGAAGTTAGATGCTATTAAACACACACAGCATAATATCACCGTAGAATTGTTCATTAGCTAGAGTGCTCAGAGACCATGTAGCTTTCTGAAGGGTCGTATACAATAACTTTGATCTCAAAATTTATAGTCAAAAAGTCCTTGATCATATTAACACCATGGCTTTTTGTCTGTGTTTCACTGTAATCATGAAGGATTTTCTTAAGATGTACACCTTTCATGTTCAGGTACAAATAGCCTAAGATATGATTAATGGTTGGCACTAAATTGGATTTTTTTCAATACACGGGAAAACAATCATAAGACAGACAAGTAACCACATTAACATTCACAGGAGAGTTGCTTTTTCAAGGAATCAGCGTAAAGAAAATTATTGGAAATCTGGTGCGGTGTCAAGTTTTTACGGGGGAATTAGAAAGTAGCTGTCTCAGCCTAAGTCTCTTGACTTTAAAGTTGTACTGTTTCTATTTCAAATAGTCTGAAAGTTGCAACTATCTAGAGGAACATGGGGTATAGATAAGAAGGGGCACTGGAGACCCTTGCCTCTAGCTCTGAAATACTCATTTAACATCTAATCTGTATTTACAGTAAAGATGCCCAATAAATGTTCTGCTTCCTAATAACTTTGTTGGATCACTGAACTAATCAAAATCAAGAAAACGAAACAATTTTTACGTGATTCTCCTCCTAAACTTAATGTAAACTTAAATACAGGAAGAATAAATGAGGTTATTTTGGAAGTGGCAGTTGCAGGAATTCTCATATGATCGTGGATTTTATCATTAGAAGGCATATTAAAAGGAATTTAGACCCTGCCCATCATCCAAAAGTCAAGCAAACCATCTGAGATCAATAGTTCCCAAACTTTACTGAACATCAGAATCACCTGGAAGGTTTATTAATCCACAAATTGCTGGGGCCCAAAGTTTCTGATTCAATAAGTCTGGAGTGGAATTGGAGAATCTGCATTTCAAACAAGTTCCCAGATGACAGTGATAATGTTGGTCTGGAGTCACACTGGGAGAACCTCTGCACTAGATCACATTCACTAACTTACTTCAGCAATTATCAAGTGTCTGCTCTCTGATTGGAATTGTGCTGGGATATATAAATAATACAAAAAGTAACTGATTTTGAAGAGCTTAAGTTTCATGAGAGAAACAGAAAATATAAAGGATTTCAATGTACTACAATTAAATGATAGGATAGACCAAGACAGGGTGTTATGAGAGCATAAAGGAGTGTCATCTTCCCAAACTAGAGTTAGGAATGCCTTCCTGGGAAGACGTTACTTGAACATGGCCTTGAAAAGGGGAAGCTGGGAAAGGCACTGAAGGCAAAGGGAACAGCAGGATAAAAGATACAGAAACATGGAGTAGCTAGGTATAGGAAATGTAAGCAACAGAAGTTGCAAACATACAATTTTATATTATAAATTATAATAAAAGAAGATTTTAAAAAGAAAATGCACATAACTAGAAGGAATCTATGTGCATTTTCTTAAATCATCTTAATAGTAATTAAAATATCAAATATAGGCCGGGCACGGTGGCTCACGCCTGTAATCACAGCACTTTGGGAGGCCGAGGCGGGCGGATCACGAGGTCAGGAGATCGAGACCATCCTGGCTAACATGGTGAAACCCCGTCTCTACTAAAAATACAAAAAAATTACCCTGGCATGGTAGCGGGTGCCTGTAGTCCCAGCTACTTGGGAGGCCGAGGCAAGAGAATGGCGTGAACCTGAGAGGCGGAGCTTGCAGTGAGCCGAGATGGCGCCACTGCACTCCAGCCTGGGCGAGAGGGAGACTCCGTCTCAAAAAAAAAAAAAAAAAAAAAAAAAAAAAGTATCAAATATAGCAGAAGGTTTTGCATTTCTCTATTATCTCTGTACACCTCTATTACATATCTCATCAGAATATTATTTGATTTTAGGAATGAATGTACCATGCATAAGAGCACCTACTATACAATGCCCCAAATGGCCTAGAAAATTTCTTTCTATCTAGAAAGACATGAAAGTTATTTTTATATTGCCATCTTATAGTGAGGAAAAAGTATTTTACCTTGTTTTTAAATGAACATAAAATGATAGTAAATGCAACAAGTGATTGCCTTTTCAGGGCACCTAGAAGTCAGTTAATGAGGGCTCAGGTAATGAGTCCTATCTGTGAAAGCTTTCAGAAGGTAGAAGCTCTGCATGGGGAAGTAGGTCACAGAACCCTTCCCTCCTCAGCACCTTCCATCAGGCTGCCTCCTGCCCTGCTGGAACCCTAGGGGAAGGAAAAAGAGCCTCTTTTTCTGTGAATTTCACTGTCAACATGGAATCTGATGGGAGAGAGAATAATAAAAGAACAGGGAATTACATATGAGTGAGATGCTCTCAGGCCTGAGAAAAGGCAACTCTTAGCCCGGTTCATACCCACATTGAACATGATGGCACGACAAGGGAAGAATGGTGAAACACGCACAATATGTTGAGTAAAAGGCTCTAGATGTAGCATACTGTATGATTCCATTTACATATCGTTCATAAACAGGCACAACTAAACTGTTGTGGAAGTCAGGATAACAGGCTATGTCTGGGGAGGCAAAAATAAATTCTTTGAATTTATTACCAGGATTGATTGAGAGGAACCAGAAGGGGAGTTTCTGGAGTATGGCAACTCTCCACCCATATTCTTTCCTTGGGCTGGTGGCTACATGAGTTTGTGTGGGGGGGTGGGGCGGGGGGGGAGGGTAATTCGTTGAGCTGCAAATTTGTTGTATACACTTTTATATTTGTGGATTATACTTCATAATAAAAAAGTTTTTTCAAAAAAAAAGTAAAAACTTGCGTAAACTTCTCTTCCTCTTATTTGGTCAGAATTTTTGCTCCTGAATATATTATATGACTTTCAGGTCTCACAGCTCACATGAACCTAGGCTACTGTGCATATCATATTCGGGGTAAATGTCTGTTTTCTAGGTGAAACAGTTAGGAAGCAATTGTTTTAATTCAAATAAGAGATTAGGGCAAGAATTAAGGCAGAGAGATGGGAAGAGTAAAATAGGATAAAATCAAGGGTTTTCAAACGCAGCCCTAATAGGATTTAGTGACCAATTAAAATGAGCTAAGGTAAAATTGTCAAATCACTTCAAGACTTCAGACTTGAGTGACCATGTAACTGGTGATGTTTAACCAGGATAGAGAAAATCTGAGATGCCAGTTCTCCATTCTAGGTCATGTTACCTGCTAAGCCAGAAATGTGCATAAAGGCACAAATTTCCTTTTTCAAGGAGACATTTCATTTAGTTGTGTTCCTGCCTCATTTGAAAAAAAATGATTGCCATCTATACAGAACTTAAAATGCTTTCGCAATGGCTAAGTAGTGTTCCAAGGAGTCTTGCTTTGTTTAGGTTTTTATCTCCATATGTTCCAGGTTGACACGTTGACACTAAGACATGGGATAATTTCAAATTTGAAACTAAGAAAAGATGGATCAGAATTGGCCGCAGACAAAATAAGGATAGGAAAAATGAAAGAACAGATAATGTCATTGAGATAGAATGTAAAGTCACTTCTTCTAAAGATATTGTTCTGCCTGATGCCTGAAGTTTCATTATTAGATATCCATTCTAAGCTTTAGAATTTTCTTCTCCCTGACATTTTCTTTTAAGTTCAAATATTCATGAGAGAGATCGGTCTATCATATCACTTTCATCCTGGCAAATTGAAATAAACGTACAGAAAACTTTGTAGAAATTAAAGCTAATTTAAATATGATTTTTAGTATAATGCCAGGGATACAGCAAGTGCTAACTAACTTCTGTCTCCAACCCAGAAGCCAGGAAATAGTAATTATAACAATTTTACAATTTTTAATTCTTTGAATTTATTACCAGTATTGTTTGAGTAACTTCTCTGAAGAATTTAAAGAGTGAACAATTGCCATCCTTCTTAGATTATTTGTGCAATATCAGAAGTTGGGGGTGCCAATAATTTGTTCTAATTTCTCACTATTAAAAATATGTAGTAAACTCTTAGCTAATTGGAAATAACTATTTAGAAGTCACATTGGGCCCATATAAAGATAACAACTAAATAAACATCGTATTAGTTCGTACACTAGCAAACTGAAATATAGTGACAAAATCTCTACGGGGATCTTTGATTCCTACAAAGCCAGAATAAAATTTATACCAAAATTTCAGAAAGTAAAGTAGTGGTTCCAAAACTTTGCCGCACATTAGAATCACCTAGGGAGCTTTTGAAAATCCCAGTGCACAGATAACAGCTAATGGCAATTAAGTCAGAATGTCTGGGGAGGGAGCTAGGCTTTGTGACCTTGAAAATACAATTTTACCTACAAGATAGGTGGTGCCCCGTTTATCTATCCTAAATTGATCTGAAACTTAAGCAAAGTAATCAAGAAGCAGACCTTGGTTGAAGAGTTGATGACAAACCAGGCAAAAACAAACAGGTACACAATATGCTGCAGAGAAACAACTGAGTAAAAGAAAACCACCAATATTTATAATAGTTAAAAAGGTTACCTATCTTTGCCAATAGTCTTACTTGTATATTCCACTTTTATTGCTTATTGGAAGGACTACAGCACATATGCTGTGAGGTTAATAAAAACATCTCTTTGAAGATGACTGACATGTATACATCACTGCAAATTATATTGGCCAATACTTACAAGCCTGACTTATGAAAAGTTTCTGTTCTGATTGCAGCTTTATATTTAATTCCAGAGAATTTCTTCTGTTTGTCCTCATATATAAAACTTTTCTTACTTCTAACCTTAAAGTCTGAACATTCTAACTGACTTTTAGTTACTTCACTAATTTTCATAGCCAGGCTCAAAATTTTTCTAGAATCATGAGGATATCAAGTGCATGGAATTGATGTTACATTAACATTTAAATAATTACTTGACCTTTTGGTGTCTCAATTTTTTAGGTTAAAATAGCTAAAGATACATAACATCATTCTGTTTTCATCATGAAAATGAAGGTTAAATAGGGAATGTCTATAAATGCTTTGAAAACAACAGATAAAATTTATTAAAGGAGTCCAACATGGATATTTTTATAACCGCAGTACAGATTTTATCTCATTTTAAAAGTTACAAAAGTTGCATTACTCTTCAAGGAAAACATTCTAATAGTGATATAATATTAAAATATAGGAAATCAGCATCTTTAAATAATATATACTGATAAGGACATTATTTTATGGTTATACCATTATCAAACAGAACTACTAAGTACCAAAAAAGTTTATGCCAGCCAATATTTATAATAAGCCAGTTTGTGATTTCTGTTTTTAGTGGCATGTTTGGTTTATTTTAAAGCTTGAAAGAGGACTTACAGTTTCATTTTGACATATAAAGACCCTGCAAGTCATTACCCTCATCTTTACAACAAGAAAAAGCTGGACAATCTGAAATTAATGTCTTTTCTTGGATTCAGAGCAGCTGAAGTCACAGGAAAAATCACCACCTGGAAATCTGAAGAGATAATCCCATTAAAGAGACACAACCAAAAACTTCTTACTGTGAAAAGACACCTCTGAAGACAGTAACTAGTAGAAACACTTAGAGTAATTTTTGTGGCTTACTGGAGGCTGTGCGTGGACTAGCTCCAGAGTAAGAAACTCCTTGGGGCCACAATCTTAGTGAGATCCTCACAATGTTTTGGACCTTACCTCCAGAAACTTTACCAGATTCTCACAGTGATAATCCTAGAAAGATCTCTTTGGCCCTTGGATCTCTGTTAAGGGAGGGGAAGAATAGTCATTGTGAAATATGACAAGGGGTTCCTCCATAACCAAGGTCTATTGGTCAGGTGAAAAGCCCATTGCCATAGTCTATCACAGCTGGGAGAAGAGGATTCCTCCCCCTCCATCTCCCTCTAACCCTTCTTACCCTTAAGAGGAATAAAGGTCAACAAGGGTCAGGGTGTCAAAGAACAGGCTGGATATGCTGCAGCCAGGGAAGGTGGTAGGGAGCAGGGGAGAACCTTACCACTGGAGAAACAGTCAGGAGATCACAGCGCTGATGCACAGACCCACTAAAAGTCAGAAATCTAATCAGAAAATTATAAAATACTCTCCCTCTCCAGCATCTTACTACACACAAAGCTCCAGTATAACAATAGTGGGTTACAACTGAGAGAGCTATAAGACATGGACTTTCTCTGACTGGGAGAACTTAGGCAAGCCCAAAGTCAAGAGGGGAGACAAAAATAACAAACTAGAAAAAATTTGAATTATCTGGCTCCTATGGCTACAGAAGACATTAAATACAGATGAGATCTTCACGATATTAATATATGCCCTCTCACTACAGGCCTGTTTACCTCAGTTTCTGTTACTCTATCCAACAAATCTGGTTTTCAAAAAAGATCATGAAGACAAAACCAAGAGAAAGCAGTCTGCAGAGACAAAGCAATCATCAGACTCGGACACAGATGATGTGACATAATTTTTGAAATTATCAGAAAGAGAATTAGTAGATCCAACATGGCTGAGGAGAGATTAAAGATATATCAATAGAAACTTCCCAAACTGAAATGCAAGAGAAAAAAAGGCTAGTTTTTTAAAAAACAGAACATTCAAGAATGTGAGACAATAACAAAATGTGTCACACATAACAGAAATACCAGAAGGGGACAAAGGCAAACAGAAGGATACTTGGAAAAATCCCCAAACATTTGGAAACTAAATAGCACATCTGTAAGTAATCCATGAAATAAAAATCTCAAAAAATTCTAAATATTTTAACTAAATTAAAATGTAATGCTTATATTAGAAAATAGAAAAGATATAAAATCAATAAACTAAGTTTTCACCTTAGAAAATTTTTTAAAAAGGAATTTGAGCCTAAAGCAAGCAAAAGAAAAAAATGTATAATAACAAAAAGAGCAAAATATGATAAAATTGAAAACAGTAAAATAATAGAGAAAAATCAAAGAAACCAAAAGTTATACTTTGAAAATATCAAAAAAATTGATAAACATCTCTACCCAAACTAACCAAAAAAAAGAAAGACACAAATTATCAGCATCATAAATGAAAGAAGAGTCATTGCAACTGATCTCATGAATATTCAACAGCTAATAAAGGAATACTACGAAAAATTCTATGCTCACAAAAATTTGATGATTCAGATGAAATGGACCAATTCCTTGAAAGACATGAGCTGTCAAAACCCATGCAAGAAGAAATAGATAACCAAAATACTTCTATATCTACTAGAGAAATTAAAGCAGTAATTAATAACCTTCCAAAAAAGAAAGCACCAGCTTTCTTTCACTGGTGAATTCTACCAAACATCGAAAGAATGATACCAACTCATCCCAATCTCCTCCAGAAAGCAGAAATAGATGGAGCACTTCCTAATCATTCTGTGATGCCATGATTACCCCAATACCCAAACAAGACAATGACATTACAAGAAAATTACAGACAAGAAAAAGAAAACCAGACACTGAAACATAAGAACTCATCTAACACTAACAGCTAGGTATTGGTGTTATTAGGAGCTGACCTGGCACTCTCAGCTAAGGTGTGGCATTCTTCTGTTAACATTAACCTCACAGAGCATTGACACCAGATCGGGTAGCTCTATGACTATAATAAAGTGAAATTTAAAAAAAAAAGAAAAAGACTATTTCGTGACCTTGGCAAAGCACATACAAAAACAAGATAACAGTGGAAACAGCAAAAATCACCAACATCCTCCTTATTATTATGAATAATAAGTGCTGTTTTGCTAGTTATGGACTTACCTTCATATTTATTCTTCCCACCCACTAGGTAAGATTCATTAAAATATTCAATTGAATAATCACCCTACTTTCTGACAGTACCCAATCCAGAGAAAACTCCATTTCCTTCAACCCTCCTGAAAAATACCTAACACAAACACAAATCCTATAGTAAATCACTCTTAACATTTTCCTCTTATGAAGGTTCATGGTTCACCACGTGTGTGGTCTCTCTCATAGCCATAAGTCAAAAAATCTAACTTCATTTGACTATAGATATATTCCTGATGGTTTTGGACTTACAGATTCAACACAGATTATTCATCCCTTTACTCCCAGTACCTTATGGCATTTCACAAGAATTTTTTGAACGAATAAATTAAACTCAGATTCAAGTTAGTTCTAGATATCCTGACCATATTTAAAGGCTGACACTGGTTATTTTCAAATTTACAGTCTGTAAAATAATTCAGGACATACAGATACCAACTGAACATAGTGTAACAGCATTAGGCAGACTTGAGATATATAATCTAAAAATCAGAGTTCTGGGCATCTGGCCATCAATAGCCGTAATGAATAATAGTAAATCAAAGGCTTCAGATAAAACTCTGAAATGACAAACTTGTGAATATTACAGATACTGCAAAGACAGATGCTGCTACAAATCAAAGAAGCATCATCTTGCGTGCGTTTTATAGAGAGGGCTATCTAAATGGATATTCCCAGGTTCTCACAGTACTCTTGGAAACCAAGGCATGGAGTATTGCAATCTTGGTGCAATGCCATTTTTACAGTCTACAAATGCACTTAGGGAAGAGAAAATTCATGCTCTTTGCTCAATAATAACTTAAGCAGACAGCCAATCCAACTGATGGCAAAATAGAGAAAGTGAAACAGTGTAACTAATCTATAGAATATACTTTTTTGCAGCAGTTGAAACTCATATATACATCATACAATAAGTCTCTGTGCCATCTATAGGAGTAATATATTTCATAATTCTACATCCACATCAATCCTTGAAGCTCCATTGTGAATTTTTTGCCATTCACGTTGCTGGTTAAAGGACAAAATGTGTTCTACATTGAAGTTTGATCCCTACTAAGTCTGGCTCTGATTTGGATGGTCTCATTGGTTATACTGGTAAAAATGAATGATTCCTGTTATAAGGTAAAAATGAAAATTATTTCTATTTTTAATTTTTAATTTAATTGTGTCATGCTGTCAACATTGTAGTATAAGCTCATATGTATGTATATTTGGAATTTATGTTCTTGGAAGGATATAGCAATACAGAGTGATGATACAATGTTTAGTTTACATTATAAATTAAATTGCCCTGTTTCTAACATAAATTCTGTGCTTACTATAATTTGAAGAAATGGCAATTCTACATTATAAATGAGTGCTTTTTGTTTAAAAAACATTAAAAGCTGGTTATCAAAACGAAGAAAATTTAAAATACCCAAATTTAAACATCAAAATGTGTCCATAGTTTGGTGCATAGCCTTCCACATTTTCCTTTTCATATTATACTATTTTTTCCATAATAATATCTGCTATAAATAACACTTTGTAACATAAATTTTGACTCAATTAAATAAATGTCTTTCATATCAACAAAGTATTTTTATACTGTTATTTGAAAATATTAGTTCCCTTTATATTAAGCAATTCTTACTTTCAATTTTTAGTTTTTTTTTTAAAAATGCAAGACTTCCAGGATGAACAAGTTTTACAAATCAGTATCTCAACATCTCCTTGTATAAATTATCCAAAAGCAACAAGGAGAATTTATAAAGCAAATGCCATTTTCAATGTAGATAGAAAAATCCCCAACTTCTAAAATACGCGTAAGTGTTGCCAAAACAGCTGAGGTAAAGGAAGTAGATAGAGAGGAAAATTTGGAATAAAAATTTAGGGTGAAATTTGCCTAATGCAGCACCTACCCAAAACTTCCATCAAAATGTGTTTTATAAAAGTGAGAGGTTCTAACTGATGATCAAAAAGCATATCCCTTGGGGTGATATCACCAGGATGGCAGAGTAGGAGATACTATAGCCTTTATTACCCCACAACACAAATAAATGCAGATAGCTATCCAGAAAACAAACCATTATGGTTCCCAGTGGCCTGCTCCACAGAGGACACTGGCAAATTTTACCACTGAGGTAACCGACAGTCATTCTTGTTGGGGAACTCCAGAAGGAGACATATTGCACACCTCTTCCTTCTTCTCATCCAACAAGAAGCAGCTACTGTAGAGTTGTTTCAGGAAAGAAGCTACCACCTCACAACCTCACGTGTACCCTGACCGCCAAGTGATGGCTGCACCACAAGTGCACATATTCCCGACGTGGATGCACCGAACCACCCATGTCTCAGATACTGGAGCCTTTGCCATAGTGAGCTTGTTCGCAATCTGGGTCACAAGACAAGGTCTCTCTGAGCATGCCTGCTCTCTGGGCACTAGCTCAGCCTCCATAAAGAACTAGGCCTTGCCATGACCCTGAAGCCACTGTAACTCTGCACATGCCTATGTTCCCATTCTTGATTCCCTGGCTACTTTATGAGCATCTGTACCTTACACAGCCTTACCAATGCAGCACCAGGAGTTCCTGCACTCAAAACATCAGTACCTTTACCACCTCATATCCCAGAACTATAGTCCCTCCACACATGCCTGTGTTTCAAGCTTCAGCACAAGACCACACCTTTGGGCATGACTCATCAGACACTGTCACTACCACCACTGTGAGCAGGCCATAAGCCAGGCCCAGTTTCAAGAGAGATGCTCTGAACCCAACTTGCCTAGTGGGAGAAAGAGACCAAGAGGACATTAGCAATCATAATCACTAGAGACCCCAAGAATCCTCACCATCACTGCAAACATCCACTGTATTAACTGCTGAGAATTCCTACAATCTGTGACAACACCCACCTCAACTCACAGAGCTACACAGAGAGTACACAGCTGCACCCTCACTGGTGCCAAAACTGCTGTACCATACCCAACAAGTGCTTTCATACTGCTCCTCCATGGAGGGAGGTCTTTACATGCCAAAATTAGCCTATAAAATCTGACAGAGGTGACTGTGTCACCAAGTGCAAACACGTCAGTGTATGTCATCAAGGAACATGAAAACCAAAGAAGACATAACACCACCAAAAAGACACAATAATTTCCCTGTAGCTGACCCAAAAGAGCCAGAGATATAATAACTACCTGGCAAGTAATTCAAATTCAAAATAATTATTTTAAGGAAACTCAAAAAAACTTGAATAAAATACAGAGAAACAATTCAGTGTTATAAAGAAAACAATAAACAACCAAAATAAAAATGTTAACAGAAAGATTCATGTTTTTTTAAAAATCAAACAGTAGTTTTTGGAACTAAAAAATACAATGTATGAAATGAAACACACAATAGAGTATTAACAGCAGAATTCATCAAGTAGAAGACTGTGAACTCGTACAAGTTGTTTGAAAATATACAGTTAGAAAAGAAAAAAGAATGGAAAGGAATAAAGAACGTTTATGCAAGTTACAGAACAGCAACAAAAGAGAAAATATTTGAGTTATAGGATTTTAAAAAGAGAGAGAAAGAAAGTGGTAGAAAGCTTATTTAAAGAAATAATAGCAGAGATCTTTCCAAATCTTGGGGAAGATGTAAATATCTAGATATAGGAATGTTAAAAGTCTCCAACAGAATTCAATCCAAACAAGATTGTATCAAGACCTATTATAATCAAAATGTCAAAAAATAAAAGAAAAAGAGAGGATCCTGAAAGTGGGAAGAGGAACAAAATAAAGGAAATTATATATAAGGGAGTTTCGATAAGGGAAACAGCAGATTTCTCAGCAGAAACCTCATAGGCCAGGAGACAGTAGGATAATATATTCAAAGCGCTGAAGGAGAAAACTTGCCAAAAAAGAATACTGTACATGGCAAAGCTGTCCTTCAGAAATAAAAAAGAGATAAAGGTTTTCCCAAAAAAAAGCTGAGAGAGTTCAGTAACACCATACCTGTCTTACAAGAAATGCTAATAGAGTTCTTTATACTGCAAAAAACCTGAAAGAAAAGGATGCTAATTACTAACACATAAACGTAGAGAGTATAAAGCTTATAAGCAAAAGTAAATGCATAGTCAAATTCAGAACACTTTAATATTGTAATGGTGATATGTCAATTACTTATATCTTTAGTATGAAGGTTGAAAAACAAAACTATTAAAAATAATAATAGATTCAATAATTTGTTAAGGCATATGCAATATAAAAGTAGTAAATTGTGACATCAGAAACATAAGATGAGTTAGAGGAGGAAAAATATAGAGTTTTATATGCAATCAAAGGTAAGTTGTTATCAGCTTTAAAAAGCCTTTTAAAATGATACGATGTTTTATGTAAGCCTTATGGTAACCACAAAGCAAAAACCTATAGTAGATACATAAAAGAAAAAAATTAAGAAATCAAAGCATACCACTAGAGAAAATCACCTAATCACAGAAGAGGACAGTAAGAAAGGAAGAAAGAAACAATGGCTCCATAAAACTACCAGAAACCAATTAACAAAATGGCAGCAGTAAGTCATTGTCTATCAATAATTACCTTAATTTTAATGGATTAAATTGTCCAATCGAAAGACGTAAAGTGGCTTAATGGATTTAAAAAACACAATTCAACTATCTGCTGCCTCCAAAAGACTCACTTCACCTGTAAGGACACACATAGAAGAGATGAAAAAAGATATTTATGCACATAGAAACCAAAAGAGAGCAGGTGTAGCTGTATTTATACCAGATAAAATAGACTTTAACTCAAAAACTGTAAAAATAGACAAGGTCATTATATAATGAAAAAGTGCTCAATTCAGGAAAAGGAGAGAACATTTATAAATATATATGCACCCAACATTGGAGCACCTAAATATATAAAGCAAATATTAATAGATCTGAAGGGACAGAAACACTGTAATACAATAGCTGGGTAATTTAATACTTCACTTTCAGCAATGGACAGATTATTCAGAGAGAAAAATTAGTTAAAAAACCATTGAACTTGAACCACATTTTAGGCTAAATGGACCTAATGGATATATGCAGAACATTCCAGCCAATAGCAACAGAATAAACATATTCTCAAGCACAAATGAAACATTCTCCAGAATAAATTATATGTTGATCCATAAAATGAGTCTTAACTAATTTAAGAAGACTGAAATCACACCAAGTATCTTTTTCCAACCATTATGATATGAAACCATAAATCAATAACAGGACAAATTTCAAAAAATCACAAATACATGAAAACTAAACATGCTCCCGAACAACCAGTGGGTCAATGAAATGAAAAAAAAAAATTAGAAAAATCTGAGACAAAGAAAAATAGAAGCAAAATAGACACCAAAATTAATGAGATACAGCGAAAGCAGTTCTAAGAGGCAAGTTTATAGCAATGAATGCCTACATCAAAAAAAATTAAAAATTATTTAGCTGGACAAAGAAAAAAGAGAGAAGACAAAATCAGAAACAAAAGAGAAGACATCACAACTGATACCACAGAAATACAAAGGATCATAAGAGGCTACTAGGAACATGAGTACACCAACAAATTGAATAATCTAGAAAAACAGATAAATTTCTAGATATATACAACCTACCAAGATTGAATCATGGAAAAATAGAAAACCCAAACAGAACACAAACAAGAAAGGTGATTAAATTTGTAATAAAAAGTTTCCCATCAAAGAAAGACCAGGACATAATGGCTTCACTGCTGAATTCTACCAAACATAAAAGAAAAACTAACACTAATCTTTCTCACACTCTTCCAAAAAATTGAAAGGAATGTATACTTCCAAACTCATATTATGAGCCCAGCATTACTCTGATACCAAAACCAAACAAAGTTATTACAAGAAAAGATAATTACAGGCAATGTCCCTGATGAACACAGATGCAAAAATCCTCAACACAATACTAACAAACTGAATTCAACAGCACATTAAAAGAATCATTCATCATGACAAATGAGATTTATCCCAGGAATTCAATCAATAAATGTGGTGTACCACATTAACAGAATCGAGGACAAAAACCATATAATCATCTCAATAGTTTGAGAAATAGCATTTGAAAAAAAATTCAACATCCTTTCATGATTTAAAAAAACTCAAAATATTAGGCATAGAAGAAATGGACCTCAATACAATAAAGAACATATATGATAAGCACATAGCTAACATCATACTGGTGAATAGGTGAAAGATTTTCCTCTAAGATCAGGAACAAGACAAGAATCCTCCCCCTACTACTTCTTTTTTTTAATCTTTTTATTTTTTTTTTTATTATTTCAATAGTTTTGGGAGAACAGGTGTTGTTTGGTTACATGAATAAGTTCTTCAGTGGCAACTTCTGAGATTTTGTTGCACCCATCACCCAAGTAGTGTACACTGTGCCCAATATGTAGTCTTTTACCCATCACCACCCTCCCACCTTTTCCCCCAAGTCCCCAGAGTTCATTGTATCATTCTTATGCCTTTGTGTCCTCACAGCTTAGTGCTCACTTATAAATGAGAACATACATTGTTTGGTTTTCCATTCCTGAGTTACTTCATTTAGAATAATGGTCTCCAACTCCATCCAGGTTACTGGAAATGCCATTATTTTGTTCCTTTTTATGGCCGATTAGTATTCCATGATATGTATACACACACACACACACACACACACACACACACACACACACACACACACACTGGATCTACTTTTAGTTCTTTAAGGAATCGCCACCCTGTTTTCCATAGTTGTACTAGTTTACATTCCCACCAGCAGTGTAAAAGTGTTCCCTTTCACCACATCCGTGCCAACATCTATTATTATTTTATTTTTTAATTATGGCCATTCTTGCAGGAGTAATATAGTATAACATTGTGATTCTGATTTGCATTTCCCTGATAATTAGTGATGCTGAGTATATTTTCCATATGTTTGTTGGCCATTTGTGTATCTCCTCTTGAATTGTCTTTTCATGTTCTTAGCCCACTTTTTGATGAGATTATTTGTTTTTATCTTGCTGGTTTGTTTGAGTTCCTTGTAGATTCTGGATATTAGTCCTTGGTTGGACGAAGAGTTTGCAAAGATGCTCTCCCACTCTGTGGGCTGTGTATTGACTCTGCTGATTATTTCCTTTGCTGTGCAGAAGCTTTCTAGTTTAATTAAGCCCCATCTATTTATCTCTGTTTTTGTTGCATTTGCTTTGGAGTTCTTGGTCATGAACTCTTTCTAGGCCAATGTCTAGAAGAGTTTTTCCAATGTTATCTTGTAGAATTTTTATGGTTTCAGGTCTTAGATTTATGTCTTTGATCCACCTTGAGCTGATTTTTGTGTAAGGTGAGATATGAAAATCCAGTTTCATTCTTCCACATGTGGCTAGCCAATTATTCCAGCATCATTCATTGAATAGAGTGTCCTTTCCCCACTTCATGTTTTTGCTTGCTTTTTTGAATATCAGTTGGCTAAGTATTTGGCTTTTTTTCCGGGTTCTCTATTCTGTCCCATTCGTCTACACCTCTCACCACTTCTATTTAATATAGCACAAGAAGTCCTAGCAAGAGCAATTAGGCAAGAGATAGAAATGAAAGACATCCAAATTGGAAAAGTTAAATTGTAAAATTTCCATACAATTCTTATCAAAATTCCAATGAAATTTTTCACAGAATGATGACATGATCTCATATATAGAAAACCCTAAAAATGCTACTAAAACACCATTAGAACTAATAAACTGACTTAGTAAATTTGCATGATACAATATCAACATACAAAAGTCAGTAGCATTTCCATACACTAATAATGAGAAGAAAACAATCTTATTTACAATAGCTACCAAAAAATAAAAATATTTAAGGATAAATTTAACCAAGGAAGTGAAAGACATGAAAACTATAAAACATTGATGAAAAATTGAAAAAGGCAGAAATAAATGAAAACATATTTCATTGTTGTGGATCAAAAGAATAAATATTATTAATATTAATATTGTTCATACTACCCAAAGTGATCTACAGATTCCATACAATACTTGGCAAGGTGTGGTGGCTCACGCCTGTAATTCCAGCTCTTTGGGAGGCCGAGGTGGGCAGATTACCTGCAACCAAGAGTTCGAGACCAGCCTGGCCAACATGGTGAAACCCTGCCCCTCCTAAAAATACAAAAGTTATCTGGGTGTGATGGCGCTCACCTGTAGTCTCTGCTAGTCAGTAGGCTGAGGCATGAGAATCACCTGCACCTGGGAGGCAGAGGTTGCAGTGAGCCAAGACGGTGCCACTGCACTCCAGCCTGGACAACAGAGCAAGACACCATTCCATACAATTCTTATCAAAATTCCAGTGAAATTTTTCACAGAAATAGATGAAAAATCCTAAAATTGTATGAAACCATAAAAGACCCCAAATTGTCCAAAACAATATTAAGTAAAAAGAACAAAGCTAGAGACAACACACTACCTGACTTAAAATTCTACTACAGGCTGGGCATGGTGGCTGATGCCTGTAATCCCATCACTTTGGGAGGCTGAGGTGGGCGGATCATGAAGTCAGGAGTTCAAGACCAGCCTGACCAATATGGTGAAACCCCGCCTCTACTAAAGATACAAAAATAAGCCAGGCAGGCTGGCACATGCCTGTAATCTCAGCTACTCAGGAGGCTGAGGCAGGAGAATCACTTGAACCTGGGAGGCGGAGGTTGCAGTAAGCTGAGATCATACCACTGCACTCCAACCTGGGCAACAAAGCAAGATTCTGTCTCAAAAAAAAATTCTACTACAAAGCTATGTTAATTAAACAGATTCATGGACCAACGGAACAGAATAGAGAACCCAGAAATAAATCCACACATTTATGTTCAATTGATTTTATGACAAAGATGACAAGAACAAGCAATGGGGAAAGGATAGTTTCTTCAATAAATGCTGTTAGGACAACTGAATATCCATATACAGAAGTATAAAATTAGGCCCTTATCTCACACCATATATAAAAAAAGCCTCAAAATGAATTAAAGACTTAAAAGTCAGACCTGAAACTCTAAAACTACTAGAAGAAAACAGTAGAAAAACTACATAGCATTTGTTTGAGCAATGACTTTTTGGGTATGACCCCAAATTCAAGGCAATAAAAGTGAAAACAGACAAATAGGATTACATCAAATGAAAGTTTCTGCACAGCCAAGGAAGCAGGAAACAGAGTGAAGAAACAAGCTATGAAATTGGAGAAAATATTTTCAAATCACATATCTAAAAAGGGGTTAATATTCAAAATAAATTGGGAACTCAACTCAATAGTAAGAAAACAACCCTATTAAAAATGGGCAAGGGATAAGACATATAAATGGTCAATGAGTATATGAAAAAATGTTCAACACCAGTAATCCTCAGACAAATGCACATTAAAACTACACGGTGAAGTATTACCACACATCTGTTAGAATGACTGGTAATAAGGAGATAAAAAATAACAAGTGACAGCCAGGATGTTTAGAAAAGGAAACCTTTGCACACTATTGGTGGGAATGTAAATTGGTGCAGCCCTTATGGAAAATAGTATGGCAGTTCCTCAAAAACTTTATAATAGAAGTATCATATGTTCCAATAATCCCATTACTAAGTTACATACAAAGGAAATGAAATCAGTATGTCAAAGAGATGTCTTCCCTCGCATGTTCATTGCAGCATTATTCACAATAGATACCCAAATTGTGGAAACAACCTAAGTGTTCATCAATAGATGAATAGATTTTTAAAATGTGGCATATATACACACATTCCTTCTTTTTGCTGTTGTTGCTTTTGTTTTTTGAGATGGAGTCTTGATCTATCGCCAGGCTGGAGTGCAGTGGTGCCATCTCAGCTCACTGCAACCTCTGCCTCCCAGGTTCAAGCGATCCTCCTGTCTCAGCCTCCTGAGTAGCTGGGACTACAGGCACACACCACCACACACAGCTAATTTTTTTGCATTTTTAGCAGAGACGGGGTTTCACCATGTTGACCAGAATGGTCTCGATCTCTTGACCTCGTGATCTGCCCGCCTCAGCCTCCCAAAGCACTGGGATTACAGGTGTGAGCCATCATGCCCGGCCACATTCCTTCTTTTTAAAGGTTGTAATACTATTCAATCTTTAAAAAGAAGGAAATTCTGTAATTTGCAACAGTAGGGATAAACCTGGAGGACAATATGTTAAATAAAATAAGCCAGGCACAGAAAGACAAATACTACATGATCTCACTTTTATGTGAACTCTAAAAAAAGTTGAATGCATAGAAGTAGAAAGTGGAATGCTGGTTATCAGGGGTTATGGGATGGAGGAGATTGTCAAATATTATGAAATTTTAGTTCAGTAGGAGAAATAAGTTCAAGAGCTCCATTTACAGCATAGTGACTATAGTTAGTAACAATGTATCGTATTCTTGAAAATTTCTAAAAGTGGATTTTAAGTGTTTTTAGCTTGATTTAGTCATTACACAATGTATACATATTTCAAAACATCATGTTATACACAAAAGTACGTACACTTTTTGTCAATTATATATATATAAAAAAATACATTGTAAAAAAAGAAACAGCTACAATTAGATGCAGCAGTCCACTATTTAGCAGCAGAGAAGAAAGATTTTCTAAATTGAAAATAGCAGTAAAACTGGAAGGCTATCTTGAACTTCATCTTCTCCTCTCAAGGAGTTTCCTGAAAAGTGCTTGTGTATTGAAACTCACTTCATTCAATGATGAGACAGAGGAAGGAAGCGTAATAGTATGAAAAACATATCCTGTAGACTTCTATTTCTGGCCAAGATGGAGTAACAGGGAACAGATTTCTTTTTCTGGCTTAATCAAAGAAACTGGAAAAAAATATGTAAAACATATATAAAACAATGTTTTTAAGACAATGGACAGCAAGCATAAAGGGGTGGCAATCCCTGAGATACAGCAAACAAGTGAGGTGAACTTTGAGATTGTCTGTTTACTGACCTGAGAGTTTCCAGGCCAAAACACAGGCACAGTAAATCAATAAAAGGGCCAGTATAGTCCCTAAGTCAAGGAGACAGATGTTGGGTTCAGGAATGCTGGGGCAGCTAGAGTTCATGAGATAGAAAACGTAGCTGTACAGTGAGAGAACACGAGACACCTCCAAAGGGTCCCCACTAATCAGTTTATGTGTTAAGAAACTATGAAGACTGAGGAAAGTGTCACCTAGAAGGATTAGAAGCTCACTGTTCAGGATTTACACAAGACTATGGAGAGTGTGCCTCCATATCAGCCAAAATAAAAAGCCCCAAGATTCACAGGGCAGTGGGTAGAGTATACTTGCCTCCATAATGGAGAATAATTAGCCCCAGAATAAATTTTACTCTGCTATCTAACAAAGCTTCCAACCTAACAAAGCTTAAAATATAAACCTGAAATGATGCAAGTCACAATAGCTAAATTTTATTTTAAAAGTACTAGGCATGAAAAGGAAAAAGGAAGTTATGATTTTAATGAAAAGGAAAAAAATCAATCAAAATTGACCCAGAACTGACACATACATTGGAAATAAAAGACAAGAACATTAAAACATTTATTATAATTTCATTCTATATATTCAAAAGGTACAAACATGAGATACACAGAAGACCCAAATGAAACCAACAGAGATGAAAACTACAACTACAATGTTTGAGGTAATAAATACACCAGATGAAAATGTCACTCTGACAACTGTGGATTTGTTTACTATCTACGATTTGACTTTTCCAGAATGTTATATAAATGGAATCATACACTACATAGCCTTCCAAGTGCAGCTTTTTATTTAGCATAATACGTTCAAGATTCATCAAAATTGTTTCATGTATCAGTAGTTTTCTTCTTTTATTGCTACTATATTCCATTGTACCATTATACATTAATTTTATTTACATATGCATCAGTTTAAGGATATTTGGGTTGTTTCCAGGTTGGGCAATTGTAAATGAAGACAAAATAAATATTTGTACAGAAGATTTTGAAAAGGTCTCTACGGAGGCCTTCATTTCTATCACGCAAAATACCTGGGAATGAGATTGATGGGTCATATGGTATGAGTATTTCTTTAACTTCATAAAAACTGCCAAATTATTTTCCAAAGTGGTTGTACTATTGCACATTCACACCACTAAGAAATGACCATTCTAGTTGTCCTGCATACTAATCAGGTATTTTTCTTTTAGTTATTCTAATAAGTATGTAACAATGAGTTCTCTTTGTTTTAGTTTGCATTTCCCTATGACCAAACAATGTTGAATAAGTTGAAATTACACTGAATGATGATTTTGAAAATATTTTCATGCACTTGTTTCTCAATTATATTTCTTCTTTGGTCAAGTGTCTATTCAAATCATTTACTCATTTTAATTGAGTTTTTTGCTCTTATTTTGAGCTGTGAGAGTTTTTTACATTACTGATTTTGTCAGTTATATGTTGTGCAAATATTCAAGTCTGTGTCTTAACTTTTCATTTTTGTAACATTTGATAACACAGAGGGCAAATGAGGGGTGTTATTTTAATTAACATAAGTTTATCAATATTTCCTTTTATAGTTTACGATTTTTTTTTGAGTCCTGCTTTTAAAAACTTTATCTCATTGAATACCTTAAGACTTTATTGTACATTTTTTCGAGAAGTTTCATAGCTTTAGCTCTTACATACGAGTGTATTACACATTTTGAGATAATATTGTATATGGAGTGAGGTAATTTTAGGGTTTATTCCTTTGCATATGGATGTCTAATTAGTTGAGCATTATATGTTAAAAGGCTGTCACTACCCTCCATTGAATTACTTTGGCATCTTTATGAAAAATTAACCATAACTGAATGTGTCTATTTCTTTTCTTTTTCTTTTTTTTTTTTTTTTTGAGACGGAGTCTCGCTCTGTCACCCAAGCTGGAGTGCAGTGGCGCAATCTCGGCTCACTGCAACCTCTGCCTCCCGGGTTCTAGCAATTCTGTCGCCTCAGCCTCCGGAGTAGCTGGGACTACAGGCGCGCGCCACCACGCCTGGCTAATTTTTTGTATTTTTTTAGTAGAGACAAGGTTTCACCGTGTTAGTCAGGATGGTCTCTTTCTCCTGACCTTGTGATCCGTCCACCTCAGCCTCCCAAAGTGCTGAGGTTACAGGCGTAAACCACCACGCCCGGCCTGAATTTGTCTATTTCTATTATTCTCTACTCTGATTTATTGATCTGTTGTGTCTGTCTTTCAAGCAATATGACATTGACTTCATTATTATGCCTTTAAGATAAGAATTGAAATAGGTAATGATGAGTCCCCCAACTTTGCTATTTTTCAAAATTCTTTGGCCATTCTAAGTTCTTTCCTTTCTATATGAATCTTACAATGAGCTGGTCATTCCCTAACCAATAAACAAAATTTTACTGGAATTTTAATTAGAATACCATGGAATCTATAGATTTGGGGAAAATTGACATTTATTCCAACATAGAGTCTTCTAATCCATGACCATGGTGTATCTATATAATTCTCCTTTGATTTCTATAATTGGAATCAATATTTTGTCATTTCAGAATACAAATATTTTAAATATTTTGTGAGAGTTATTCCTGATTTTCATGTTTTTAATCCTTCTGAACCTATTATAGTTACATTTAAATTTCCAAACTTTCATTCCCAATATATAAAAATATAATTTATCAGCCGGGCATGGTGGCTCACGCCTGTAATCCCAGCACTCTGGGAGGGCAAGGCGGGTGGATCACTAGGTCAGGAGATCAAGGCCATCCTGGCTAACACCGTGAAACCCCGTCTGTACTGAAAATACAAAAAATTAGCCGGGCCTGGTGGCGGGCACTTGTAGTCCCAACTACTCGGGAGGCTGAGGCAGGAGAATGACGTGAACCTGGGAGGCGGAGCTTGCAGTGAGCCGAGATCTCACCACTGCACTCCAGCCTGGGTGACAGAGTGAGACTCCATCTCAAAAAAAAAAAAAAAAAAAAAAAAAAAAAAAAATATATATATATATATATATATATATATATAATTTATCTTTATTAATCTTGTATTATATAAACTTGATTAACTATTGAATTTTTATTAGTTTTTTGTGAATTTTTTGGTATTTTCCAAGTAGATAATAATGTCATCTCCAAATGAGATGTTTTTGTATTTTTCTTTCTAATATGTATGCCTTTTACTTCTTTTTCTTGCCTTAGTGCACTAAGATCTACATGATCCCAAAGAGAATGCAATCAGCCCTTTACCATAAAGTATGATACTGGCAGTAGGTTTTTTTGTAGACTCCCTTTGTTGGTTTAAAGAAGTTCCCATTACTTCCTAGTACATTAAGAGTTTTGTGCTGTTTTGTCTCTGTCAGTGTGAGTGGATGCTGATTTTTTTCAAATACTTTTCTGTATCTATTGAGATGATTATGTGACCTTTCATCTATTGATATGGTAAATTTTATAGATTGATTTAAGTTAAACAAGACTAAATTCCTGCAATAAATCCCACTTGATCATGATGTATTATCATTTTGATATGTAGCTGGGTTTAATTTGATAATATTTCTTAAGGATTTTTGAAAATATGTTTTGATTTAAGTTAAACAAGACAAATTCCTGCAATAAATCCCATTTGATCATGATGTATTATCATTTTAATATATAGTTGGGTTTAATTTGATAATATTTCTTAAGGATTTTTGAAAATATGGTTATGAGGATACTGGTCTGTAATTTTCTTGTAATATCTTTGGTTTTAGTATCAAGGTAATGCTGTACTCATAAAATAAGTTGGTAAACAACTTTCATCTTCTTCTACTGGTGAAGTTTATGTAGGATTTGAATTCATTCTTCATTAAATGTTTGGTTGAATTTTCCAGTGAAATAAACTAGGCCTGAAGTTTTCGTTGCTGGAAGTTTATTAACACTGAATTCATTTCCTTTAATACAGAACTATGGCAGACAAAATCCTAATATGATCTCCAAAATTTCTTTCCCTGGTGTAAATGCTGTATATAATGCCCTTGAGCATGAGTTGAACCTGTGCATATGATGAAATATCATTCATGTGATTATATCACATGATATGACAAAATGGTGTTTATCCTGAATGGACCAAAAGTAATTTGGTAAGTTATTTAAAACCAAAGTTTTCAATACTCATCATCACTGGCCATCAGAGAAATGCAAATCAAAACCACAATGAGATACCATCTCACACCAGTTAGAATGGCAATCATTAAAATGTCAGGAAACAACAGGTGCTGGAGAGGATGTGGAGAAATAGGAACACTTTTACACTGTTGGTGGGACTGTAAACTAGTTCAACCATTGTGGAAGACAGTGTGGCGATTCCTCAGGGATCTAGAACTAGAAATACCATTTGACCCAGCCATCCCATTACTGGGTATATACCCAAAGGATTATAAATCATGCTGCTATAAAGACACATGCACATGTATGTTTATTGCGGCACTATTCACGATAGCAAAGACTTGGAACCAAGCCAAATGTCCAACAATGATAGACTGGATTAAGAAAATGTGGCACATATACACCATGGAATACTATGCAGCCATAAAAAATGATGAGTTCATGTCCTTTGTAGAGACATGGATGAAGCTGGAAACCATCATTCTCAGCAAACTATCTCAAGGACAAAAATCCAAACACCACATGTTCTCACTCATAGGTGGGAATTGAACAATGAGAACACATGGACACAGGAAGGGGAACATCACACACCGGGGCCTGTTGTGGGGTGAGGGGAGGGGAGAGGGATAGCATTTGGAGATATACCTAATGTTAAATGACGAGTTACTGGGTGCAGCACACCAACATGGCACATGTATACATATGTAACTAACCTGCACGTTGTGCATATGTACCCTAAAACTTAAAGTATAATAAAAAAAAAGTTTTCTTTAGCTTGTCACAGAAGAGAAAGGCATAGAGGCAGGCACAATATGACTAGTCTGGAAGAAAGCAAACATCCATATTGTAAACTATAGGAGATATGTCAACAGCTAGGAGTTGAATGCAGTTACTAGCCAATAGCTAGTAGGAAAATGGAAACCTCAGTCCTATAACCATAAGAAAATGATGAGGCCTGCTATAATTACAGTAGTCAGGGATGTTCTCTTGGAGGACATGATCTGTGAAATAATATCTAAGTTGTGAAATAGAGACACTCAAGAAAAAAAAATAAACTATTTCCAAGCCAAGAAAATACTTGTTAGGGTTAGGGTTAAAAAAGAAAAAGAAAAAAAAAGATAAACTTGGCACTTTTCTAGGCATTGTGGCCAGAGTGTACTGAATAAGAAGAATGCAGATTAATTAAGTCATAAAGGTAGTCAGAAGGCCAGAAAATACAGATCAGGGTAAGAAGTTTATTTGCATTTTATTCAGGTTGCAATGGAAGCCACTGGAGGATTTTCAAACAGAAAGAATGCCATAATCCAACTTATACATGGAAAGAATATTTGTGCCATGATATGTCTTATGATATTTTTGGAGAGGCAAAAGTAAAGCAAAGAGATTAATTAGATGGGTATTAAAATATTATAGCTGAGAAATGATAGAGGTTTACAATTAGGATATTTTGGGTGAAGGTAATAAGAAGTATTCAGTTTCAAGATAATATTTATTTTATTTCCATAGGTTTTGGGGAACAGGTGGCATTTGGTTACATGAGTAAGTTCTTTAGCGGTGATTTGTGAGAGTTTGGTGCGCCTATCACCCAAGCAGTATACACTAAACCAAATTTGTAGCCTTCTCTCACCCCCTTCCCACCCTTTCCCCCGACAGGCCCCAAAGTCTATTGTATTATTCTTCTGCCTTTGCATCCTCATAGCTTAGCTCCCACTTATGAGTGAGAACATATAATTACTTCACTTAGAATAATAGTCTCCAATCCCATCCAGGTTGCTTTGAATGCCATTAATTTATTCCTTTTTATGGCTGAGTGGTATTCCATTGTGTGTGGAGATTATATATATATATCACAGTTTCTTTACCCACTCGTTGATTGATGGGCATTTGGGTTGGTTCCATGATTTTGCAAAAACTGTGCTGCTATAAACATGTGTGGGCAAGTATCATTTTCATATAATGACTTCTTTTCCCCTGGATAGATACCCAGTAGTGAGATTGCTGGATCAAATAGTAGTTCTACTTTTCATTCTTTAAGGAATCTCCATGCTGTTTTCCATAATTCAAACCAACAAGACTTATTTATGAACGAGTTTGGGGATATGAGGAAAGAAGATAAATCAAGGATGTTTCCTAAAATTTTGGCCTAGACTACTGGGTGAACAGTACTGCTATTCTGCGATGAGGGAAATTTGAAGGGAAAAAATAGGGTGGGAGGTAGATCTACATTCTAAGTTGGCCATGCTGGGTTTGAATTGTCTATCAGAAATTGAAACAGAGATGCCAATAAGGCAGTAGATGTAAAAGTCTAGGATTCAGGGGAGAGGTAAAGATTGACCATATAAATTGGATGAACCTCAACCTATAGATAATATTTAAAGTCATGGCTATGGAAGTTATCATTTAGTGAACCCATTAGGTAGCAGAAAAAAAGACAAAGACAGTCAAGGGGTGCTTCAGTATATGGTGGAGAAGGGTAAGTTAGAAAATATGACTAAAAGAAGTGACTGGTGAGGTATCAAGGAATGCAGTGAGTGTAATATTACAGAAGCACAAAAAAGCAAGTGTTCTGAGAAGGAGAGAGGGGTCACTTCTGTCAAATGATGCTTGCAAGTCAAGTAAGATGATGACCCATCTTGGTAAGTGGCCCCTCAAGCAAATACTATAATGCAGGGAAACTTTCTTTGATCACCAGATTATCTATTAATGTAGTTAAAGCTTGTAGACTTTGGTTAATAAAGCTAGCAGATAAACATCTATAGTACTAAAGTTGTTTGAAGTTAGAAGCCACTAATACATTTGAAGTTTAAGCATATAACTGAAATTTAACTATATCTGAAAAAGGTTTGGTGGATTAATTTTGCCAAGGGAGTCACAACCCTTACTTGTCTGAAACAGGAAGACACAGAAATCAGCTGACCTCATGAAAGGGAGGTCTGTATGAATGACCATCTAGCTTAAGGCTAAAACATATACACTCGGTCCATGTTGCTGTTATTGCACCTGCTTCCTAAACGTTTTTAGAATAACCATTCAGCCTCTTTCAGTCAGTATGGCCCAAGTCTTGCCTGCTGGTGTAGTGAATTGTAATATTTAGATTCTTTTCTTGACTTAAAATCATTTTTTTTTCAGCTCCACCAGGACTCACAAAAAGGAACAGCAATATTAAAACTTGCCCAAACTTTGCAATCTGGGAGTCTGAGATTGTAGGTAAAGACACACTCTAAAGAAATAAATTGTCTACTGTCTCCAATTATAAAACTAGAAAAATTATCTCTGAACATAATAATACAGAAATAAAAATAAAAGTTGAAAAATTAAGTCTAGTGAAGAAAAGGTAAGGTCAATAGATGGAAGTCTTCATAAAGTTTGGGGAATTATTCAAATGAGAATATTAGACCAAGAAAGATGAAAAGCTAAGAAGGGATAATAAGAGAATGAAATGTTTGAAATCAAAAATATAGAGGCAGGATAGTTATTGGTGATTATTATGGCAGTGGTTGGTTTAAGAAGATGCAGAAAACAAAAATTAAAATTTAGGAGTTTAATGAAATGAGAGACCTTGTGCTGGCTAGATCCTCTAGGTGGATGTCGAAGTTTCCAACAGTGATGACGAGTCATCATGAGGTTAATGAGAATATGGGATGAGGCAGGTGACTAGAGAGCATGAGAAGGAAGATGGAGAAATGGGGACTGTACAGCCTGAAGCTGTGAAACTGATCAGGTTAGAAGAGCCTAAAACTAAGGGAGTGAGGTGGCAGTGAAGTAAAAGGTAGCAGTCTATTTGAAACGCTATCCCTGGGTAGAATCAATAGGCACATGGAACTAATTGAATGCAAGAAATAAGAAATAGGAAGAGCCTAGGATGGCATGAGAATTTCTTGTTTGGAGACATTAGGCTGATGGTGGTGTCATGAGTCAAGGCTATGTAACTTAGAACACAAATCAGAGATGATCAGGTTTCTGCCTTCCTGCCAGCCCAGTCCTTCTCCGTCCCACCTCACCATACCAGCAAGCACACACATATGCATGCATACATGGAGTTTAGGAAAAGAACCCTGAGCATAACAATCAGGTATCCTAGACTTTAAATAAATACCTTCAAGCATTTTATATGAAAAATAGGTATAATCACTTGGTCTAAGATACTAGACAGTAGTCCAAGAAAATGAGCTTCTCAGGAAGGGAAGGAGGAAGGAATGAAAGGAGGAAAGGAGTGAGGGAAGGAGAAAAAGAAAGAGAGAGGAAGAGAGGGAGGGAGGGAGGCTGGCAGGAGGAAGATTCTGACAACACAATCACAAACAACACAAGGGAGAAAAAGAAACAGATTCATTTTAAAAGCACAGAAAAAGAGGGTTAAATCAGTATTTAAAGCAGATGGCATAATGTTAACAGATGGCAATAAAAATCACAGAACTTCTCAAGTCCTATTTTTCTTTTGTCCTCTCTATCAAAGAATCAGTCTTCAAAACTGCAAATGGAAGAACAAACAAGACACTGAAGTAATTGAAGCTCAAAGGCCAGGATGTGCGATTCAGTATGTGAATGCAAGAAGTGTTGAGTATGAATCATTAATGACCAAAAGAAGATCTATTAAATTTAGTAGAAGAGGTTATTAGACCAACTCAGAAGGATATGTCTTTCATTGGAAAAGGGACTTTGAATATATATTTGGAAATATATGGTGTGTTATGCTAACAAAAATAAAAACAAATAAGAATAGCATAAATTAATCAACAAAAATGCCTCAATCATAATTGAAGACTAAGTCCTGATAATAAGAAAACTATATAGTGCTGACATTCTTATCACTACAAGAAGGACGGATGAACGGGGAGTGGTTTGTGCAGAGGATGACTGAGATCTGAGATCAGATAAATGAAGATATGAGTTATTGATCAAAGTAAATTGCTTTGAGCTTGAGTTCTTCTTGGGCATGGTACCTGCCCACCATTCCTTTAGAGCTCACACCTAATGCAAATAAACTTTCCAGTCTAAATACCTTGCTGTCCTACTGTCAGTGCTTGCTTTTCTGGAAGGTATCATAAAGAGCTTGCATTGTTACCACTTTGCCTTGTTTATTTACCCAGTTCATTGTGACTACATGATATACATAACTTATATCTTCCAGAAACTCAGTGCTGTGAAATTGAAAACTGTGTACAAACATGATCACTTGTTGTCTTCATTAAAAGAGTATATAGTTCAAGTCCCTAACACAGATCAATTATACTGCCAAGATGTTGCAAGAATGTGAAGATATTGTCATATAATTGTTTTAGAGAACATTTGAAGACTAGTGGAATATACAATTAATATTACAGATTGAACACTGGCAAAACCCATTTCTAAAACTACTGTTGCTGAGACCATCAAAGACTCCTAACCAAAAAATCAAAATGTTGGCTGGGTGTGGTGGCTCACACCTGTAGTCCCAGCACTTTGGGAGGCCGAGGCAGGCAGATCACGAGGTTAGGAGATCGAGACCATCCTGGCTAACACGGTGAAACCCCGTCTCTAATAAAAAATACAAAAAATTAGCCGGGCATGGTGGCAGATGCCTATAGTCCCAGCTACTCGGGAGGCTGAGGCAGGAGAATGGCGTGAACTCAGGAGGTGGAGCTGGCAGTGAGCTGAGACAGCGCCACTGCACTCCAGCCTGGGTGACACAGAGAGACTCCGTCTCCAAAAAAAAAAAAAAAAAAAAAAAAATCAAAATGTTATCTTCAGCCCTCAACCAAGTGACAAAGTAACCACTCTATCTAAATTCTTTTCTCTCTTAGCTCACTGGGTACCTCACATTCCTAATTCTCCTAATTCTCTACTCCTTTATTCTAAGTCTTCTTTTCATTTGTCATGCTAGACTAATCCTACATCAGTCTCTAAGTAATTCTGCATCTTATCTGCTTAGTCCCAGATCTTTTTCTTCTCTCTGGATGGTCTCCTCTCGAGCTACAGATTTCTGTTCCCAAGTATACCTTGTTATCCATGAGCATTCCAAACATAACATATTCTCTAATAGCTGCTCAGAAATTGCCTCTCTGCCGCTGTAAATGGTATCACTATCAATCTATTCTCCCACTGGAAATTTCAGTTTTTCTTGACTTATTTTAGTCCCCATCAATTATTGTACTTACATCTCAGAAGAGTCTCTGGAATCTAATGTCTTCTCTTCATATTCATTTTTATTGCCTCAATTTAACCCTTCAGCATCTCCCACAGAAATTTATATTGACCCTCCTACCTGATCCCTCTATCACTAGTCCTTACCTGCTCTAGTTCATGTCCACATCATCTGCAGCACTTTCTTCTTCAGGTAATCTTACAATACTCCTTCCCAGATTAAACCACTTGAGGCCAGTGACTGTGAAATTAAAGTGTTGTTTTCCTAGCACCTAGAACAATGCCTAACAAACACTACCTTCTCAATAGATAATGGAACAATGAATATGGAGGCTCCACTGTCTGCTCACCACCGTCCTGACAGCCAACCACCTTCATGAGTCACTGTTTTAAATAAACTATCCCTCTACACAGGGCAGGATAGTTCAGTCGTTTAAAACCCAGGCTTTGGATCCCTCCAATTCCTGGCATATGATAAGTTTAAATACTTGTAACCATTGTTATTTGTGTTATTATTGATTATTTTCCTCAATAATTTCAACTGATGAATTTGTACTTATCTCCAACTCCTCAAACTTGATTAAATCACTTTCATCCTGTTATAACACTTTGAACACAATAACACCTCTTTTCACATCAGTCACACACATTGCAAAGGCTATGTTTTATTCATCTTTGCGTCCCATCATATAATAGAATGCCTAGCACACAGTAGTTTTCTAAGAAATATTTGTTGCTGCATAAAAGTAATATCAAAGAAGCCAGGAGAATAGAAAGTTTACCAAAAAAGGGCTAATACTAATCAATTCTATAAATACGTCAAGAGGAATGAAGATTAAAAGGGGCCATCACTGTGGACTTCAGGTTAAATGTGGTGGATTGAACATTTTGGTTTGCAACTGCTCTTCTTCAAACCTTCACTAAAATAAGATTAGGGGGAAAACTAAGAAATAGATAGATAAGGCAGGGTGCAGTGGCTCACACCTGTAATCCCAGGACTTTGGGAGGCCAAGGTGCGTGGATCACGAGGTCAGGAGTTCAAGACCAGCCTGACCAAGATGGTGAAACCCTGTCTCTACTAAAAATACAAAAATTAGCCAGGCGCAGTGGCAGCCACCTGTAATCCCAGCTACTCAGGAGGCTGAGGCAGGAGAATCGCTTGAACCCAGGCAGCAGCGGTTGCAGTGAGCCAAGATCATGCCGCTGCACTCCAGCCTAGGTGACAGAGTAAGACTCCATCTCAAAAAAAAAAAAAAAAAGAAAGAAAGAAATAGATAGATAAAATGGATAAATATGCTAGGATTAAGGTAACATGAAAGGAAGTGACAGCAACAAAATTAAGAACCTACCTAGAAAGCAGACAGTTGATTAGTAACTATCAGCAAAACAAGTAAAGCCAAAGCCTAAGCTAGAAGTAGGAAAACCCAAGAAGCAAATGTATTCATGACACAGAATCTCAGAACACCTCAGGAATCAAAAGAACTACTATTCCTAAAAACTGGTGGTGTAGTTTGTGCTGGAGATTACAAGAATCACTTCAATTCTCAGATTCCTACCCCTTATTCCACACTGAAAGGCAACTGCTCCTGCTCCATACAATAGAAGCTGAATGGTTTATTCCTTTGGAGAAGTGAAACAGGGGATGTAGACTCAAGAACAAACAGGCCCAGCTGATGATGAGTGCATCATACTGAAAATAAGAGGATAAGGTGAAACTCTTGTGCAATGAATGATGAAACACTTGTTCTTTTTTTCTTCACTTAGCCCCAAGAGGAAATACAGCCAAAAAAAAAAGGAAATACAGCAAAGTGTATATCTTCCCAGGAAATTAGAGGGTTCCCCCAGGAGGAAATAGACCAATATAAAAGTAAAAATATTGAAATATTGATAATTCAGAATCTTCCAATAAAAGACTCTAGTCAGTTCAGCTTAGGTGGTCATAATGCAAACATTAAAAATAATAATGTAAGTAACAAGAATGGATAGAAAGAAGGAGTGTGTTCACATGCCAGCACATGGGGGAATAAGAAAAGTAAACATCAATTTTCTAGGGTAAGAAGTCAATAGATAATATCTAAATCCAAAAAAAAGAAATTTTGTCAGTACAGTATAAGCATGTGTAGTAGTCAGGATTCTCCACAGAAACAGAAGCAATAAGACATATGTATATATACATATGTTTATAATTTTGTGTATGTTTATCTATGTTTTATATTTTATATAGAGAGAGATTTCTTATAAGGCATTGGCTCTCATGATTATGGAAGCTGAAAAGATCCACAACCTGCTGTCTGTGAGCTGGAGACCCAAGACAGCTGGCGTTCTAAGTCTCAGTCTGAGGGCAGAAGAAGCCTAATGTGCCAGCTCAAGCATTAGGCAGAGAGAGAGAGATAATTCCCCCTTCTTTCACATTTTGGTCTATTTAAACCCTCAATGCATTGGATGATGCTCACCCACATTGGGGAGGGCAATCTGCTTTACATCTATGGGCTGAAATGCTAATCTCTTCCCAAAACACTTTCACAAGCCCACCCAGAATTAATGTTTAACCAAATATTCAGGCACCCCATGACCTAGTTGATTTGACACATAAAATTAGCCATCACAGCCTGTTACTGAAAAATATGAAGATAAATACTTGAATAATCATCTAAATGAATACAGAATGCTTGATTTCTGGGCAGCAAAGATAGGTGAAGCCAGATGAAGGGTGAAGGGATGGCAACTTTTGTTTTCGTTTTTTGTTTCTTTACAAGCCTTGAGAAAACTGCCTAAACTATCTGCATACTTAATTTCTATCTACAAAATGTTAAACAAAAAGATATGGTTGATCTTTGTGTGAGCAATTTCAGTAAGGTGACTGGGATAGAGGCCAGATACTAGGATATAAATAGAATTTATAACAATGAATGCAGGTTCACTGTTTTAAAAGTTAATCTAAAAAGAAGAAGAAAAGACAACTGTCTAAGGAAGGTATGAAATCATACCTTCCATACCTTTTTAGGAAAAGAGAAGTTATCAGTGTAAGAAATGCAAAATTTGATGCATATGCCATAATAAATGAGAATAAAAAAGAAATAATGAACAACAATATAGGAAAAAAATTAATCCAATTTTTAAAATGGGCAAAAGAGCTGAATAAAGAATACTCAAAAGAAGACATACAAATGGCAAACAGGCATGTCAAAAGACGCTCAACATCACTGATCATCAGAGAAATGCAAATCAAAACTACAATGAGAAATCATTGCACCCCAATAAAAATGGCTTTTATCTAAAAGACAGGCAATAACAAATGCTGGAGAGGATGTGGAGAAAAGGAAACCCTTGTATGCTGTTTGTGGGAATGTAAATTAGTACAACCACCATGGAGAAAAATTTGGAGGTTTCTCAAAATGTCTTATGTTTTGTATTTTATCTTATTCTTTTTTATGGCTGAACAGTAAAGAAGTAAAAATAGACTACTATATGATCTAGCAGTCCCACTGCTAGGTGTATACCCAAAAGAAAGGAAATCAGTATATCAAAGAGATAGCTGCACTCCGAGGCTCACTGCAGCACCATTCACAGTAGCCAATATTTGGATGTAACCTAATTGTCCATCAACAGATGAATAGATGAAGAAAATGTGGTACATATAAACAATGGAGTACTATTCAGCCATAAAAAAGAATAAGATCCTTTCATTTTTCCAACAACATCGATGTTACTATTTTAAGTGAAATAAACCAGGCACAGAAAGACAAACTTCACATGTTCTCACTTATTTGTGGAAGCTAAAAACTAAAACAATTGAACTTATGGAGATAGAGTAGAATGATGGTTAGCAGAAGCTGGGAAGGATGGTGGCGATCGGGGGGGAGTAAGGATGGTTAATGGGAACAAAAATGTAGTTAGAATGAATATAATCTAGTATGTGATAGCACAACAGAGTGACTACAGTCAATAATAATTATTGTACATTTTAAAATAACTAAAAGAGTAAAATTGGTCTGTTTGTAACACAAAGAAAGAATAAATGCTTGAAATGATGAACATCCCATTTACACTGATGTGATTATTATGCCTTGTATGCCTGTATCAAAATATCTCATGTACCCCATAAATATATACACCAATATGTACCCACAAAAATTAAAAATAAAAATTTCTAATAACATAAAATAAAAAAGAGGAAACAGAAAAAATGATAATTAATATTATAATAAATAAGTGAGACCAGGCACAGTGGCTCACGCCTGTAATCCCAGCACTTTGGGAAGCCAAGGTGGGCAGATCACAAGGTCAGGAGTTCAAGACTAGTCTGGCCAATATGGTGAAACTCCATCTGTACTAAAAATACAAAAATTAGCCAGACATGGTGGTGGGCACCTGTAATCCCAACTACTCAGGAAGCTGAGGCAGGAGAACTGCTTGAACCCAGGAGGCAGAGGTTGCAGTGAGGCAAGATCGCACCACTGCACTCTAGCCGGGGCAACAGAGCAAGACTCCATCTTGGAAAAATAAATAAATAAATAAGACACACTATAGACATACACATAATACATTAGATTTAGGAAGTAAGGCAAGTGGGGAGTCAGTATATTCACAGAAAAGTTAATAATAATTGTAATAATAGCAAACAATTTTTGAACAGGCGCTATGCTAAAAATTCCTGAACATCATCGTTGAGTCCCCAAAATAGCCCTGGCAAATAGGTTTCATTATCTTCATTTTACAGTTGAGGGAAATCTCTAGGTCAGAGAAAATTGTTCTAAGTCAGGAGTTCTTAACTGGGGATGATTTTGCCCAGGCAATGTCTGGAGACATTTTGTCACAACTTGGGTGGAGGGATGGACATTATTGGCATCTTGGTGGAGGTCACAGATGCTGCTAAACATCCTGCCATGCACAGAAAAACTTCCCCCTCAACTAAGCTAGATCAAAATGACAGTAAGGCTGAGGCTGAGAAGCCCCTTTTGTAGGAGTACTCAAAGAAATTAAGTGATAAAAATGTATAAGAAAAGAGACTTGGCAACTGGATCAAGCCTTAATAACTGTTACACTGAGGGTTTTTCATAAATGTGCTAACTCAAAGAAGAAAACTGACAACTCATAGCAAGAGAGAAATCTAAGAATGAAGATCATGCATTAATTTTAAGCGGCAAGATAAAGATAAAACAATAGATGGAGAGAAATGTTGATGTACAGGTCAATTTGGAGAATGAAAGAGTAAAGAAAATATAATTATATGAAAGTGAAATTTATTAATATTGATTGGGCACTGCACTTTAAAGCAAGGAGCAGGATACCTCACCAGACATTGGAGGGATGCTGGAGTGAAATTGAGGGAGGTTATGATTGATCCTTTCTATTTCTACAGAGAAGAAAAACTCTAGAAATCTGCAAAAACAAATCTAGAAAAGATTAGATGGAGCATAGGGAGAACAGTAAAGATTAGGAACACCCACTGTAGGCAGAGGGAAATTGAACAAATTTAAAGGATTCAACAAATTTAAAGTCAGTGAATTTTGATAAGCCAACCTTTGAGGGTTCAGCTGAGTGTAAGGGGTTCGAGAATACATAAAAAAGAAGTCATAGGATTTTTGCCATTGACCATTTGGAGTAACAGCAAACGTATTTAGCCCCATACCAAAATAAGAAATTGAAAAAAATATATCAGACAATTGTTTTCAGACATTGCACAACAAATAGTGCAAACATATGATCCTGAGAATAAAAAAAAAAACAAATGAGTGAGCCTCACAATCATTTTGGCTTCTATGTCATCCAATATTCTGGATCATGAAGCTGGGGTAGAGAACTCCACGCAGAGCACAAAAAATTATAGAATGTGAGAAGACAGAGATTAGGGCTTCAGAACAATCAGGCGGCTAGAAGTTATGAAACAGAGAAGGAAGCTACAAAAGAAAAAGGAGGAGGAAGAGGAAGTTATCAAAAAAACTGCACAAGTTCCTTTAAAAATGAACTGAGTGCTAATCTGTGCATGTAAAAGAGGCAGGGAAAATAATAATCAAGGAGTCTTAAGATGAACAATTCCCAGAGCTCAAACAAAAGAGAAACACTCAAATTCCAATCCTCCAGAGGGCAGAGCATTTGGGAATCATCTGGGACATCAAGGAAAAACACAAATGGGTCAGACTGTCTCTATTTCTCAATACAAATAAATAGATGATGATGATAGATAGATGATAGATAGATAAATAGGATAGATGATAGATAGATTAGACACATGATAGAGATAGATGATAGATAGATAGATAAGAGAGAAAATAAAAAGTTGACAGATACGCACTCGAAAAAATGATCAATATCATTAGTAATCAGAGAAATAAATATTAAAAAAAAGATACCACTACACACCCATTTGATTGGCTAAATTAAAAAGGCTGACAATACCAAATGTTGACAAGAGTGTAAAGTAATAAAACTATCATACATTCTGATGAATATATAACATTTCCAATTGTAACTTTGGAAAATTGGCATTTTCTTACAAACCTATATATATGCCTATCCTGTAACCCAGTCATTTCACTTCTAGGTTTTACCCTAGAGGATGAAAACATACAAATATTCAAAGACTTTTACAGAAATTTTCATAGCAACTTTATCTTAGCCAAAACCCAAAAACAATCTAAATGTCAATTGACTTGTGAATGAATACACAAATATTGGCATATCCATACAATAGAGTTGTATTCAGATATAAAAAGGAACAAGTTGCTTATACACACAACAATATGGATGAAACTTACATATATTTTTCTGAGCAAAACGTCAGTCACCAGAGTACATGCTGTGTAATTTCATTTTCATGAAACTTTGGATTGTCTATATGAAATTCTAATCTATTGTGATAAAAAGTTTATCACTGGTTGCTTGGAGACAGGGAGAGGGAATTGTTCAGGAAGGAGACAAAGGATTTGGGGATAACAGAATTGTCCTATACCTTAATGGGGGGGTGGGTGGTACATTAATATGTACATTTGTCAAAACTTATGAAACTATTTAATTAAAATGGATGTTTTTTATTTATGTAAATTATACCCCAAGAAAGTTGATTTTAAACAAAAAGTGAGAGAACACTCAATTTTGCTGAAAATGAGAAGATGGCCCTGCCAGTACAATAAGGGTCCTATTGAAAGCTTCATGCATCACCATTAACAGAAACAGAAGATATCTCTAAGGTGTTCAAGGCACTAAAAAAGAGGACAAGAGGAAGAGTGGTAGAGACAAGCAGGCATGTGTCTCCTGATGAAAGGACATGATACCACTCTATGAAAAAAATGCAATCTGATCAATTGTCTAGATCTAAAGACCAGTTGGATCTAGATCCAATCAGAAAATAAAACAAATGGAGGAATCTGTTTAACAGACGCCATGGGAACACACAGCAACATCTAGACTGCAGAAAACTCTGCAGGAAAAAAATGACAGGATTTTTAGAACTAGGGAAATAACTAAACTAATCTTTAGACTAACAGAGAATTCAAAGATGTGTTAGACAATCACAATTACAAACTTTATTTGGATCTCAATTGGAACAAATAAACTGTAAAAAAAAATCCTCTATAAGACAATTGGTGAAATGTGAACACTATTTGATGATATTATGGACATTGTTAATTTTTAGCTGTGAAAATAATATTATGATTAAATTATAAATGTTCTTTATTTTAGAGACATATACATAAATATTTACACGTAAAATTATGTGATGCCTAGGATTTGATTGATATAATCAGAGTGGAGAGAAGATGGGAGGAGTACAAATGGACAAGATTGGTCATATGTTGATGGGTATACTGGGTTATTATATCACTTTCTCTGGTTTTGTATCTATTTAAAATTTGCCCACTATAAAATTAAGTTAGAAGGGAAGTGAAGACCACCACTGTTTTGCAGGATTCAGTGGAAACAGGCTCTGTGGAAGAATGTGGCAGATCCAGGTAGCTGCCTGGCCAGTGTCTGTTAACCTTTCTTCTTCAGTCTACTAGTCAGAATAGACTAGCTTATGTTGTAGTAACAGACCTGAAATAATGCTTAACAAAGTCCATTTCTTGTTCATACCACATATCCCACATGGGTTGGCAAAGGGGACCAACTTGATGAAGGCTCCACCCTTAGTTAAATCACTGATCTACAAATACCTTTTCTCCGAATTCTTAGGGAAAGTGAATTAGTACAAATGAAGTAAATTTCTTGAGCACCTAGTATAAGAAAGTCCTGTATGAAGTGTTGCAAGGGCCTCTCTAGGCCTTCACAGCCTAACGAAAAATAGAATATACAATTATAACACAGAACAACTATGATTTTTTAAAATAAGATTAAAAGTTACAAAGTCTTAGTGGTTTATCAGAAGAGATCCGATCAATGAAAAAAATGAAAGATGTAAACAGCTCCAAACTGAAGGAAATATTTTCAAATGTTTGTTCAATGGATGTAGATAAAATTCAAACTTAGCCAGATAAAAATAAGAGTCCTCTAATCTCACAGAACATTTATAATTAGAAGTTACACCATGAAATATTTAGTCATTTCAAGTTCAAGTTACTAGAAATGTTTTTCGATTGAGTTTCTGGAACATAAACCACTCTGCTTTCTGGTGGGAAACATAAATGACTGTGTAAGTTGAATATAAAATGCATGAACATCTGGAAGTCTGCTAATTGCAGACAGAACGTCACATAAAACAAGAAATCAAAGAACTTCTTTCCGGCTCATATGTCTTTAGGAGAGAGAAATCACTTTCCCTGGCACAAGTACACTGGCATAATTGACAAAACGTTGAGATGGCACATTTCCCTATATGTGCTTTCTTGGATCCAGTCAAGTCCCATGAACACTGGACTCATAAACTTTACATTTGGTCTAGGGCAGTATATGATAAATTCTTAAATCAGTGGTAATAAAAAAGGTAGAGCAGAAGTTTAAATACAGCAAACAGACAGGAAACTGAACTGCCTTAGCCAATTGGAATAAAATAAACTCGTAAGAAAGAAACTCAAATCTAAGTGCATTAGGGAGCAGGTCCCCAACATGCTGAAAGAAATATCATTTCTATTACAACAGTCCCGAAACCACTTCAAGTCTATAGACCTGTTTTAATTGGCCAAGAATTTTTTCCTATAAATTTAAGCCAACATTTAAAACTTAGGGAATTTCTTATAAAAATACTTATATCGGCATTTTCTTTAAAATAAGAAGACCCAACAATTCCCCCATAGCTACAGGCTGCTAACACACACAAGAACTTCTACTCTGGAGGAGACATCTGCCCGCCAGTCATCACCTCTGCTCACACAAAAAACACATAAGTCCAGCCCTTTGTTACTTTTCATTTCACCTTGTAGACATGTGAAATCTTAACCATTGCTTCAGAAAAAAAAGTGGTCATAGTTGACCGGGTGTGGTGGCTCATGCCTGTAATCCCAGCACTTTCGGAGGCCGAGGCAGGCAGATCATGAGGTCAGGAGATCGAGACCATCCTGGCTAACATGGTGAAACCCCGTCTCTACTGAAAATACAAAAAAATTAGCCGGGCGTGGTGGCGGGCACCTGTAGTCCCAGCTACCCGGGAGGCTGAGGCAGGAGAATGGTGTGAACCTGGGAGGCGGAGCTTGCAGTCAGCCAAGATCGCGCCACTGCACTCCAGTCTGGGCAACAAAGTGAGACTCCGTCTCAAAAAATAAAAATAAATAAAAAAATAAAAAGTGGTCATAGTCACAAGTCATCGTTTTTATTCCGCTTTTGATGACCCAAATCTTCCTCTTAAGTTTGAATACATGGTGCCCCGTGACGGGCTCTCCCAGCTCACTGACTGCTCCTGCACTCACTGTGCCTCCTTCATTAGTTGGTACTTCTCTAAATCTCCTGGGGTTTTAGGAGTGATAATCACTCTTGTGCCTATAGCCTCCCAGAGTAAAAATACAGAATAGGAAGTCAGGGAAATGAACATAAAAATTCAACTGTATTAGTGATAACATTAAACTGAAGAATATGGCTTGGATCAGTGGCCAAATGGGTCTCCTAATACATTTCACTTTGATCTGAATTTAACCCCGTCCAAGACTGCTGACTGCTCTGCTGCAGAGACAGAATCTGCCCTGGTAAGCTTCCCTCTAGTGTGTGCTTCAGTCAAGTTGACTCCAAAGAAAGGGAAACCCAGAAAGATCAAAACCATTCATGCTCAGTACCTTTTCCCCAATGTATCAATCCCAAAAGTCATCATTTGAATTTTATCTAGGAGTAAAGTCAGTAGAGAGAAGTCTAGAAGGATTTTAGCCCATTTTCCTTCTTGGAGATTGAATATATATTATTTTCTACTTGTGGAAATATGAGGAGTAGTAAATAAGATTCCCACACATGTACACATATTCCTCTGGTTTCCATTCTCTTCACATATTTGGTTTAACAGCTAAGCAAATGGCTAATGATGGGTTCAGTTCATCCCCAGGGACAGAGATGAGCTTCAGAACAACCCTGTTTATGAAGGCTTCTCTGCAAATACCAACCAATGCTCCACTGTGTCCAAAGAATCATACGTTAAGTAAACTTATTCCAAAGTTCTACTTCTACCCTCATACGAAGTTCTATTTTTACTCCCTATTCTGTTTCTCATTCTAATTTGTGCCCAGCCTCACTCTCCATCATAATTCACCAGAGGTTACACGATGAAGTCAAATAGAGGCATAATTATTCTCCAATAATAGCATCAACAACATAAAAATTACCAAATGGGAATATAAATATACTCCCTTATGAAGCTCTCAGGAAGAAATTAAAGCCTCTATGTTAAGACACCTGGCTTTAAATTCAGAAATATATATATATATATATATATATATATATATATATATATATATATATATAGTACAAGACATCAGAAATTAAATTCTTTTCCCCATGGGCTCCTCTACTAAGAAAGTCCAAAGAGTTAACACAACACAGAAAATTATTAGAATCCTAGTTTTAAAACAACTTAATTGCAGCTCCAAAGTGAATATCTCCAATTTTTTTAGAAAAGGATCTCCAGAAACTAGGAACCAATATGTACTGCCCCCAAAGACCATAAAAGGCTCAATGTTATCTAATGAAAGGAGAGTCAATTCAGAGAAACAATTTCTGCTACTCTAGACTCCCAGTTGGTCAGTGTCACTTGTTCAGGGTCCAAAATCAGTGAATTGTGAAGTCAGCCATAAGATTAATTATGCTTAACAAATATCAAGGGGAAAGGAGTTCATTTTTGCATTCTCTCTCTTCAATCAGAGAGTGGGAAAAACTCCTGACAAAGTTTTGAAATTTGCAGTAGTCATGGCCCCAAGTCAGCGGGTCTTATTGAAGTTTCTTTCTTTCCTATGCAGCATACTTAAAACTTGTTAATTTCATTTTCCCTTTGAGCCTAATTTTCTGCCCCCATTCCAGGATAGCAGTTGAGGGTGAGATCTGTCCAGGATGCAGGCCTGTTTCACAGGGACTATTGCTGCTTGCTCTGGAATGTCTTAGAGCATGAGACTTGCCTGCTAGGGAAGATTCCCCTCTCCCCAGTCTTGGTCTCTGCTGGAGAATCACCCTCTGCAGGCCCTTCTTTTCCTCAGCTTTCTAATGTTCTAGGCTTTGAGCAACATCTCTTTTTGCTTAATAGTTTTCTGCAACAGGAAAGGTCTCTAATGCTTTATTTCTGTCTGCTATTCTCTTATTCAAAGTAGGTTCACAATAGTTTACCTTGCTTCTTAAATGGATTACTTTCCTTCTCTACCTTAGGAATAACTATCCGTAAGACCTGAGTAGCTGCTTCTCTTTCTCTTTCTCGTTGTTTTTAAGCTCAGTTGTCTGTTTTCAATGACATAATTTTCTCCAGGTTTTGTCTGGTAGGGTACCCTATCTTGAGATCATTATAGTGAGTGAGTTCTGGTGCTGCCCAAAACATCCACTGTTTAAAAAAATATTTTCAACCTTCACCTCCTGGGTTGAATCATCTCAATCACTGTCTCGTCAGAGACAGGCTGAATTAGATGTATTATTTTCTTTCTTTTTCAATATATAGTAGCTCCTATCACTTCCCTTAAAGCCCTTATTTTATATTTCTTCTCCTTGAGAGAGAGACAATATCTTCCCACCCACTTACAACAGGTGTATCACCTTGCATCAGTACTTCTTTTAATGTAGGTTGCTATTTCAATCATTCTCTTTCACATCTGTCCAGATATTCTATAGCCGTGTGGTTAGTTCTCATTAAAGACTCCTTATCTACAACTTTAAGAGGAACATTTTCAAGAGTCTGTTAAGCCCACAATTTCATAGGTGACTCTAAAAAAACAAATTCTACCAAAATATGAAACATCTGTCTATAACTGTGTCTATAATAATGGTGTCTATAGACAAGTATATTTATAGACTAAGTAAAGTTTCTAAAAATCTTTCTCTTTTACAATGAAATTGAAAAGTGGATTAGCCTCAAGTAGAGTCAGTTATATCAATGGCTTTTATTTTTCTTCTAGATCCACATAATAGAAAGAGAAAACAGAACAAAACAAAGCCTGACATTGTCAGTCTGTCCCTAAAACTTCTCATTATTAGGTTTAGAATAAAGGTTACTCAAAAGTTCTTTTTAAAAAAAAAAAAAAAACTTGTTAGATCTGGGATTGCTCAACATAACAATTACACTACACTCTCTTTGACCCTGCTACTATGCTATAACCATGTTTTTCTATGCTCCATTTACCCTCCCTAATTTTAGAAGAACTAAAACAATCCCCTCTTTTACAGTCCCACTTTAAAAAGTAGATAAACTGGGGCTTATTTTCTTTAATTTGTCATATCTAGCTAGTCAAACCTCTAAGATTTTAACATTTCTCCTAAGAAAAAGTCTTTCTTACTCCATTGGAATTTGTCTGTTACTTTATTTTTCTTTCATTCTTCCCAAAATTCTTATTCTAATAATAAAACCAAAGCATATTTTTAAATCAAGACATTCCTCTTAAATTCCAAATAAAACTATTCCAGAAACAGAGTGTAGGAGGCACAATCTATTTTAATTGCCATTTTAAGCTTTGGATTCACAATAATTTTGTTGACGTTTTGCACTATCCACTATGTACTAAGAGCATCTATTCTTTTTTATTTGTTCTTCCAACTTCTATGGGTAAAACCAGAATCTGAGTCTCTGAAATAAAAAAACCACTGTCAGAGTTAACATAATTATTATTTTCAGAACCCATGTGAGTCCATGAAGTTGGATGGAAGAGTGCACAATTCATGAGATTCTAAGCAGTTAGCTCCCCCGCAGTTCCCTCCCTTGTTGCTGAATGTAGTTGAGAATAACATAAATAGGAATGGAATTTGGGGCAACCGATGAAGCACTGCATTTGTATGCCAGGCATAAAATTCATACTAGTTTTTTGTAGCCCACATGGACTTAGCTGTCTTTACAAACCATCTATAAACCTGGCTTAAAAAAATACAATAAAAGCAGCACAATTATCCCACTCACGAATGCTTATTAAGCATGTATGCTTAAGCTCTATTTTGATGTGAGCCTTAACAAGAAGTAAAAGTTCTCTTTTTCTTGGACAGGAATCAGCAATAGAACTGAGATGCCTAGAGCATTAGCCTTCTATTCGGCTAGCTTAGCAATAAACACTTAGGAAGATTTTGATACTTTCAAAAGGTCAAGACTCTAAACAAAAATTTTAAAACAACTAAAATTAAGCAATATATTGTTTAGGCACTGAGCACAAGTCCCAGAAAGTGGTTACATCAGGACAGAAAGAAGAAAGAAAAACGGAATGGAGAAAACAAATAGGCAGATGGAAGTTTTTGTTAATGTTTTCGGGTCTAGTTTTCTGATCACGTGGTGGTTTTATGGAGGTTAATTCATTAAAAATAAGTAAATAATGAAACAAATAAAAGAGGACCATGATATATCAATAATAAAAGTGGACAATGCATCATATATTCTGAGCAATTCAATTCTGTGTACCTAGAGTACAGTAAAAGATATATATATACGTATACATAATGTTCGTATGCAAAAAAAATTATTTACAATAGCAGACAACTTTTGCTTTCATTTGTAATGTTCTGAAAACTGGAAATGAGATGTTTTAATTACATAAAAATTGATTCTTAATAACTTTTTCCTTAACATTATAGAATGTTCAATAGTACATCAATAAAAGAAAACTCTATACTTGCTAATTATATTCCACAATACAAACATTCAATCAGGAAATAAAAATAATATCTCTTGAACTTCTGGAATAAACATATGTTATCAGCGGAAACAACGTTGGTATTAAATGAGTGACTAAGAAGATATAGCATGCTACATTTCCTCCACTCCCAATCAATTCTACTGTATTTGTACCTGCAAACCTTAAAAGGAGCATAGTAAAAATACTAAGTTAAATTTTTTCTTAGCTATGTTATAGCCTTGTATCACTAGTAAAAAGAAAAAGAAATGCACAGCAGCTCCCTCCCTCGCAAAAAAATCTTGTTGGTAGAAAAATTAAAACTTCACAAGTATATAAAAATGAGACAAATTTCAAAGATAAAATTTGAGATGTTCGCTTCCAGTAATAGAAAACTAGATATTTTGGAACTATCTTCCTGCTGAAAGAAAATAGAAAGTTTGGACAAAATAAAACAAAATCTGTGTAATGGCACTGAAGAACTACTAAGGCAGTGAAGATTTATTGTGATAAGATCTAAGAAAAGAAAAAAAAAAACAGATTTATAACCTGGAATTTGAGAGCTGCTTTGCCCGTTTCACTAGAAAAGCCCAAAAAGAAGCTGAAGAAAGCCTTCATTACACTCAGGAGGCTAAGAGGACAAGATTGAAAATAAAAGATAAATCAAGGATGAATCAAGGGCAGAGATAGGGAAGGTGCTTGGGTCAACCACTAAGACAGGGCTGAGATTACAAAGACTGACATCCTGGGGACAAGTAGGAATTAGAAATAAAACTATTTTCATATGGACTGAAAATTTTGGCCTGAAATTGTTAGTGTCCCTAACTGTGCCAGAAACAAATAAAAATTTTCTCTTATAGAAGATAACAGTATCATGATCCTGAAATTATATCCATAATTTTCGATGAGTGATATCTAGCACTTGATCAAAAATAGTTAGGCCACATAGGAGACAAGATAGTTCATCTAAACTCCCAAGAGAAACAAGTAATAAAAAACAGTCACACCAGGGATTCAGAAACAAGAGCATTAAAATAAATATGCCTAATAGAACTGAGTAAATAGAATTGAGCAATTAACCAAAATTATTACAAAAATAAACCAAATGGGAATTCTAGAAACAGTATGCTGGTATCAATAGTACTAAATATGCCTATAGACAGAATGAGTGACATAGAAAAAAGAAATATCTAAAACAGAATATTCAAGCTACAGTCTGGAAAAAAAAGGATGGAAGATACAGAAACAAGTGTAGAAATAACAAATGGCATATGGTTTAAAGGTATTACATACATGTATTTGAAGACCCAGAAGGAGAAAGAAAAAATGAAGCAGAAACAGTATTTGAAGAGCTACTGGCTGAGAAGTGTCCAAAACTGATAAAATATATTAAGTCACAGATTCAAAAAGTGCTATGAACAGAATAAGAGGGATAATTGCAAAGAAAATTGCATGTAGACATATACTAGTAAATCTCTGAAAACCAAAAGCAAAGAGAACATTTATTTGATTTTTAAAATTTTTAATTAACACATAATAAAACAGCCGGAGGAAAAACGAGTACATGCTTTTTCAAATGGATAGGATTATTAACCAAAATTGATCACTGATAATTAGCACTCAATGATCATTTTGCTGCCTTGAAAACGGCAGTATAAATGCCATTCTGTCAGTTGTAGATATCTACCGGATGAGTCTACTTGACAATGTCAGTCAAGATGTTGGTGCTCTCAGAGACAAGCCAGGTAAGAATATCATCTTAGACAGAGTTTGTCTGTGTAATATTTTATAGTATGAATGTAGAAGAATGAATGAAAAATAAATGAAAGGAGAAAGCATAATCTTTAACTTCCTGCTTACATCTTTTTTTACTTTGACTCCAGCAAAAGCTTATTCTTTTTTTAGATTTTGATTATGAAAATGTATTTAAATGATTACAGTTCCTTGACACTTACTGGATAGCCTTTTATCTCTTAATATATCATCAAGGCCATTGAGAATTCCTATATGTTTAAGGAAACATTTTTTTTACTTTTTATATTCTTTCCTCTATCCCACAAGGAATAATTTAAATAGCATACAAAATGCTATATGTAGTTGACATTTCAGTTGAAAATCAGTAGTGTTAACGATTGGGAAAGAATCACAGGAAAAGAGTGGTACCCCGAGTTCTTTAAGTTAACAATATCATGGAAATAGCACTGAACTAGGAATCAGGAAACCAGGTTCTATTTCTGGCTTTGTTCCTAAGTAACTTTAGGTAGTTTTCATAGCCTTTCTTTGCACATTTTCTCATCTCTCGAAAAATCTCTTTAGTTCTTTCAAATTCAAATATTCTATGATGTCATGTAGGACAATCTATACTTTTTAACAAAACATATGTGATATATATTCCAGGAAATCTTCCTACAAATTTTTCATTCAAGCTTATATCCTTCAATGCTAAATGATAAATGTAAAATAGATAACAAGCAAGTGCTAATGATTGAAGTCTGAGACCAGCCTAGTCTCCAGCTACTATTTTCTAACATAGTTGCCTGAACACACAAATAACATATACTTGCTGTTTAATGATACTTCCTAGTAAGTTCCCATGGACTTTGACATTTATGCCTTCAAAGGTAATCATTCTTTTTTTTCTCTCCCTCACTCTATCAACATGGAAATAGAGGAACATTTTTTAATCTATTAATTCTATTAAGAACTATGTCATTTGTATCTTAAAGATGTCTCTGAAATTTTATATGCTTAAATTAACATGGGAATCAAGCATCATACCACTTTTAAAAATCTCCTCCCGATTAGGTCTTTGTATTATGTTAGTGGCATCTAATCACTTAACCTTCAAATTAAAAAATATCTTTACCTGACAGATTCCCACAGCTGCACCATTACATAAACTGCTTATAAATTATTTACTTAAATTGAATTGCTTGTAAATTATAATTTTACATAATTTGGGAAAAAATAGAAATACTATTTTGAAAGATTTTCCTCACAGAGACATTCTTTTATGTAACAGTTTCAGTATGTTTCCTTGACAACATTGTTCCTAAGAATGTCTCGTTGAGGCTGTGGTAAATGATTGATGTCTATTTTAAAAATAGAAAATATGAACATGCCATGTGTAGTTAAACATGTCATTATAATCATACAACCAAGTGTAGGTCATCAACATACTATTAAAGCTGTATTAAATATTGTTTATTTAAGAAAATGAAATTCACCAAAATGAACGTTTGGAAACTAGATGAAATAATAGTTTCTAGAATAAACATATGTACTAATGCCACAGGTGCACTAAGTGTAATTGATGTAGTTCTCAACCTTTTCCATAATTGTCTTAAACTGAACTTGTGATTCACTGAGGCAAGAATTCATTATTGAGCTGTGTACTGTACCAGGTGCTGAACTTTCATTGGTAAACATCTCCTTGAAAAGTAATAAGTGAACAGAGAAAATAACATCTACTTTGTGTGGTAAATACAGTTAACATTCTGCCTTTGTCTCATATTTAACAGATCAAGACTGTGAGACACATCAAAAAATTACTTAGTCCCTTCTGCCACAGGGTGGGATTGACAAACATTTTCTAGATTATTTCCTAAGGAGTGTTCTCATGTGATAACCTAGTATTTAATCTAATATATGTGGTTGGTATTTTATTTTGGAGTCATGGAAAATAAAAAACAACCAAACTTTCCAATTGTGGGAGGAAGTATAGTAAGAATGTATTTTTTATTTAAATTATTTTTATAAAAGCACATGCATGCCTAATCCACTACAGCTGGATGTTAACAGAAAATGACTGTTTCAATGCACTGTCTTATGACTAGGACTTACAGCTGATCCAACAATCACAAGACCATCACCTCAAATTAGGAAATGGAACTGTTGATGGGCATTACAAAACAGAATAAGAGTAGATGACCGTGGCCTAAAATCACAGCTCTAAAATCAGCTCAGGGTGTGAACTGCTCAAGATGGTACAGTGACTTGGCAAGTAATTAATCCTTTCTACTCCAAAGAGATGGATAAAATATAAAAAGAAAAATGGCATGGGTTTAAATACATGATAGACATCTCTACCAACTTGACAGGGAACAAAAGCCAATGGTAAACAGGAGTCAAAGCAGATTATCTGTTCCAGAAATTGTGAAGCAAGCAATAGATGCTGAGAGCAAGAGGAAATTTAAAAATCCTTCACATAAAACTAAGGTGCTGAATCTCTAGCTCTAATCTCCAACCAGTTGTGAGAGAGGACTATGAAAAAATAGGAGGGGGGGTGGCTACCAAATGTTACCAGAAGCCATAGTTCTGCTGTGCTACAGCCGTAGTGCACCTGAACTGAATCTCTCACAGGCTTTTCAGCTGGCAACTGAAGAATTTGGTTCAGAATGGAATCGAGAATATAAATTATTCTATTATAATGATACATGTGCATGTATGTTCATTGCAGCACTATTCACAATAGCAAAGACATGGAATCAACCCAAATGCCCTTCAATGATAGACTGGATAAAGAAAGTGTGGTACATATACACCATGGAATACTATGCAGCCATAAAAATGAATGAGATCACGTCTTTTGCAGGGACATGGATGAAGCTGGAAGCTGTTATCCTCAGCAAACTAATACAAGAACAGAAAACCAAACACTGCATGCTCTCAATTATAAGTAGGAGCTGAACAATGAGAACACATGAACACAGATAGGGGAACAACACACACTGGGGCCTGTCGGGAGAGGGTAGAGAGGTGGGAGGAGAGCATCAGGATAAATAGCTAATGCATGTCAGACTTAATACCTAGGTGATGGGTTGGTAGGTGCAGCAAACCACCATGACACATGTTTATCTATGTAAACATTTCCTAGGTACTATTAAATAAAACAATAAAGAAGAGAACAACTTACTAAAAAAGATAAAGTCTCTATGTCAAAATAGGTTTTGGGAGCAGATAGAAAAAAATCACTGATGATTCAGCTGAAGGGCACTAGAAAGCAAGATATTAGTAAGTGAAAATCAAGATTGTGGAATATAAACTAAATAAAGAGATGACTGCCTAGAACTGTGAAGAGACTGAGATTTTACTTTACCTTTGGGCTACCAGTCAGCCTGCTACAGTTTTATGGATGCTGACAAATCACTTTCTGAACTCAATCTTCCTGGTAAGAGGGTTTGCAGTTGCCTTCAAAGGTTTTCATTTTATTTTATTTTATTTATGTTCCATCCTGTATATGTACACTTACTAATATCTTGCTTTCTAGTGCCCTTCAGCTGAATCAACAGTGATTTTTTTCTATCTGCTCCCAAAACCTATTTTGACATAGGGATTTTATCTTTTTTAGTGAGTTATTCTTTTCTTTATTGTTTTATTTAATAGTACCTAGGAAATGTACTAGGTACTCTTTTTAAAACTTTATACATATTAGCTCACTTAAGTAATAAGGGCCCAAAGCATCACAGTATGGACATCACAGTGTGGGCATCATAGTGTAGACCCTGTGGGTAAGCCAGAGTAGGATACACAAAAGGACCCCTGGTATTTGGAGGGTAGATTATTGATGGTTTTAATAAGTGTTTGCATATGTCTATAAGAAATTGAGCAGAGTTCTCATTATTGCTCAGTCACTCTCTTAAAAACCTCTAGGGATTTTTATAGAGAGATATATAGATAAATGAGCCAATAGATAGATAGAAAGATACATAAATACATACGTAGATACATAGGTAGATGTAGGTATAGAGTAAAATATAGATTTCAGATATAAATATTTATATGTAGATGGGTAGACCCAACTTGACTTTAGATCAGGATTCTTATGGAAAAAACAAAGAAGTCATTTTACAGAAAACTGATGACATTAGGCTTATTTTTGTCTGTTTTGCCTCATGTTGCAAACTTTGCATTCTGCTTGTAAAGCAAGGTGTGATTCTGATAGCACTCTACAAGAATTCTTTTATGGAAGGCATTGTATGGAAGCATAAAAAGAATCTTTAGTTTTATTATAAATAACAGTGTGTCCTTTGTACTACTGTTCTGCATTTTATGCTTTTCCAAAGGATGAAATCTTAACTCACATGAAGAATAAATTCCATCATTTCAAAAGATTTACAAGGAATTCTTCAATAAGAATTGTTTTATGTAGTAATTTCTCCTTCAGCATTAAATATGTTATCAACTAACACAACTTTTCATAAATATATCTATTTCACAAAGCAAAGTACTTGTATGCAAACCATCTGGAGAATCTTTTCATCAGTTTTTACTTGACATCAATAGAAATGAATTTTCCTTCAGTTCAATCATTATGGATAAGTTACATTATTGTACCTTTTTTCTTCCCTCTCCTGTCTAACATGGTCAGCAGGACCCTGTATTTTAAATCTGCATGACACACTACATGATGCTTAGCATGCAGAGAAAAACCATAATTGTCTTCATTGCATATGCCATCTACTAAATAATACTAGTCAGCAATCTGCCATTATTTCTTATTCATTTAACCATCCAAACAATATATATTTACTGAGCACACAGTATGTCCCAGGCTATGTAGATGAATGAAACAGTCATGGTTCCTGCCGTCATTGAGGTTACAGACTAGTTCTTAGAAAAAAAAATATGACCCAAGATAAATTTATGATTGATTTCCTTGAGTAAGTATAGTTCATCAAACAGCTAAAATTATAAATTGCTTTCCCATAACACACAGGCTGTTTTCAAAAATAAAACTATACAAGCATTAATACCAATTGTCCCTATGGTTTAGGAGAAAAAGGGAGTAAGAAAGATTATAAAACTCTTTCATTTTATTACAAAAATAAATCTCCTAAGCATATATACAGACCACACTGAGTTTCTCAGGAGGCCAAACAATGCTTTTGAGGTTTTTGATCACTATACATCTCCTCTGTCACTAAAATTGGGAAATAATTGTCAAAATCTCCTGAGAGTTAAGATAAATTACCATAATATCATAATAAAGCCTGCCATGATTTGACAAGTTTTATAATAATCCCGACACTTGCCATGGTTGTGCCTTTTACCTGGAAATAAAGCTTTTTTCTCTGACAGCAGAGATTATTTTTCTTGAAGCTACCAACAAAAACAAAGAGAATATGACAGTACATTAGTTCCACGGTGTGGCTGTCACAATTCAATGGAAATCTTGGATCAAAACTTACAGTTTCAATCAGTGACTTCATTCCAGGTAAAGCTGATGACCTCTATAAGCCCCTTATGAGTGTGTATGCTCAGGACACAATACAGCCCCCATCCAATGCACCTGCTCATGCACTGAGAAGTAGCTACGGAGAACCACCATACATATTCTAATTTGAAAGTATGGTCAAAGAACATACCAACATACTAAAGTAATTATCCTCAAATTCAGTAGAGGAAGAGAACAAAAAGATGGGAAGACATAGATATTTCAAATCATACAGACTGCTCTTGTCTAAAAAGTGCAAACTGGTCTTTAAAAATAAGTTCATTTTCAGTACCAAATGTGTGCATTTCTCTTCAAATTTTTAACTATGAGTGTCCTTCCTAATTATATGTTTGTGCACAGTACCAAATTCCTCTGAAGTCTTCCTCTGTGGTTAACAGCCTATGCACTATCTCCTCTTAATTACTGCTCATGCCCCCCTCAGTGTGAATAATGCCTAAAGCAGATGGTGTCTCCTCCTATGAAGCAAGCATTTGGCCAAAACAGAACAACAGAGACAATTTCCAAAGTCTGATGGGTACTCTTCAGTCTGATTGCCTCTCTTTATCATAATTTCTTAGGGACGTGGCATCATTGAGACTCTTTTGTCAGATCTCAGTCTGTTCCTCACCCCTAAGCAACACCATCTCATAGACAGAGAAACATAATTTAAGAGTTCAAGAATTCCAGAACTTTATAGTCACAAAAAATCATATTAATACAATGTTCTATTTACATGATACCTGTTTAATATCAAACAATGCAATTCAATGTAAGCCAAAGAAATCATTTCTAAAATTCAAATTCGGAGAAATGTCATTTAAACTCTACACTTCTGGCCAGGCATGGTGTCTCATGCCTGTAATCCCAGCACTTTGTGAAACTGAACCAGGAGACTCGCTTGAGCCCAGGAGTTTGAAGGTGCAGCGAGTCCTGATTGCGCCACCGCACTCCAGCATGGGTGACAGAGTGAAACCCTGTCTCAAAAAAGTAAAATACATAAAGTAAATGCTACACTTCTGCTTTCCACCTTGTAAGGTCTTGGAGAGTATATTGTATAACCATTTTTCATAATTATTATTTTCTACATTACTATGAACTATTTTCTTCTTGGGTCAATGCAAAACATTACTGTTACTAAAGATTACCTTTGAAATGATCACCAAGAGTATTAGTCACAGTCATCAGTACATTTATAGTAAAAACTTAAACATTATTTAATGTGTTTTGGCAGTTTCTAATATAGCAAGTAGGGAAACTGAAAGTAATCATATTACAATACAATATAACAAGGTGTATATATTGAAAAATAGAACATTCTAATGGAATTCAGTTTCCACTTTGTAAAGGCAATATATGAGCCAAGTTGGGAGAGACGAATGTTTAGAAACCATAAATAATCCTTTCAAATCATGACAGGCAGTTTTACTTGCACACAAATGTATGATTTTTAAATGAACAAAGATTTATTTTTTTTGCAAGTACCTTACAAAATATCTAGTTTATGCCATCAGAAAACCATTTATTTGAATATAGAAACGACCTTTGAGTAAGTATTTTCACCCTAGGAAAATCTTCCCAGCCATTGAAAATACTTTTAATCCAGCAAAGCTGCTATATTCCAAATCCCACAATTAACCATTTCCTATAAATGTACTCTCACACCAAAAACCTAGCCCATGAGGAGAAGTGCAAATTAGAGAATAGAAACATTCAAAGAAGCAATATCGCCAGTTACTCTTAATCTCACTCTCTCTGGTATCTCTAGTTCCAATTCAGTAGCCAGAAAAGCCACTCACTCTCACCATAGCTAAATAGTGAAAAGACCATTTGCCCTTGGCGTGCTCAAATCTCATTACCTTTGCGCTCTTCCAACACCAACTTCATGGCCTTACTTGGTTCTTCATTTATTCTATACCTATTTATTAAGTATCTAGTATGTACCAGAAATTTTCCTAAAAAGTAAATACTCTGCCGGGCGCGGTGTCTCATACCTGTAATCCCAGCACTTTGGGAGGCCGAGGCGGGTGGATCATGAGGTCAGGAGATCGAGACCATCCTGGCTAACACAGGTGAAACCCCGTCTCTACTAAAAACACAAAAAAATTAGCCGGGCGTGATGGCGGGCGCCTGTAGTCCCAGCTACCCGGGAAGCTAAGCCAGAAGAAGAGCGTGAACCCGGGAGGCGGAGCTTGCAGTGAGCCGAGATCGCGCCGCTGCACTCCAGCCTGGGTGACAGAGCGAGACTCTATCTCAAAAAAAAAAAAAAAAAAGTAAATACTCAAGTGAACAAAAGCTAACATGATTTAGCAGAGAAGATAGACATAAACTAACAAAAACACACAGTAGAGGTAAAACCATTACCATGATTAAGTGTCATGAAGGGAAGGCATACAGTGTCATGTTAGTTTATCATGGGAGGATTTGTTGTAGTCAGGGAGAAGAGCTGAGGTTTCTCTGACAGAGTGATCCTTGGTGGACATTTGAATTTGTGTGATGTGAAGGTTGGAGAACAGATGAAGCATCTCAGGAAGAAGGAAGAGAATGCACAGCATAGAGAATGTGGAAGGGAAGTAGCAAGAAAATGAAAAACAAAAAATAGAGAGGGGGACATAGAAGCCATTGTAGTCATGCAGGAGAGAAGATGGCAGCTTGAACGGGAAATGGCAGTAATAATAATCTAGAGGCAGAGAGAGAAAACAGGGAGAGATATTTAAGTTGTGAAGCTTCCAAAACTTGGGTATGGCTTGGATATAGAATGTAAGGTTCCAGGAGGTATTAGGGTGACTCTAGGTTTCTGGCTTTGGTAATGTCTGGAATAAGACAATGTTTACTGAGATAGAAGACAGGAGACAAGGACTAGGTTTGATAATGGAGACAGGCAGAAAGAAGGAGGGCAATCCCAGAGCTGATTTGGACAGAATTTTCACACCTCATCAACGTAAAGTTGTCAGCATAGCAATTAGGTAGATGGGTCTAGGTCCTAGAGATAAGATCTGGCTGGACGTATTTATTTGTGAGTCTTTTACATACGGGTAAGAATTCAATGTTAATGTGGATTCCATGTCCAGAGCAAGAGTCCAGAGGGGAAAAAAGAGAGCCTAGGCTCCAGCTTTGAGGAAACCCACACTGAGTGGCTTAACAAGTGAGAATGAGTTTGCAAAGCTAACCTCTATCCCTTTGGTTGCCTTCCTGAAACCATATGATTAAAAATCAACCAGGAGAATGAGGTGTCGTGAAGCCAAGGAAAAGAAATGTGTAAGGAATGGTGGAAAGAAAATACATATTAAAAGCTAGAGAAAGGTTAAGAAAGATGGGGATTGATAAATGCCCTGGGAAGGTGATTACTGACTATGTGAGAGCTGTATTGGTAGAGTAATGTGAGATAGGTGGATGCCAGACAGGACTGCATAAAAAGGTGAATGGGAGATGAAGAAATTGAGAAAAAAGTCCACTGTAAGTGGCCTTCAGGACTCTAGCTAGGCCTGCCCTTCACAGCCCTGGTCTTCTAAAGCTTCACAGGACTTCGGCAAGACTCCACATTCATTCACATTAGGCCAGAAATCCTAGTTCTCCATCCACAACCCATTTAGGAGTCACACTAAAGCTACTGAGTCAGACTCTCTAGCTGTACAAATGTGGCTTTGGTTGAGCTGTTACTGGAATTAGACACCAGCTCTGGCCTTACACTATAACCTAGTATGCCCAAGCTTTAGCCATTCATATGCAACTGCCACAATTAATATCATGTGGCACTCCCTGTACTATCCTTTCCTTACTGTCATTCTTTGAATTGGCCCACTTTAAAATATAAATTAGTTTATCATTAAAGGGAAATTTAATGCCAATACTATGAATAAAAAGCTGTCATTAACCATAAATGGCAGGTTATTGCAATTAAATAAAAAACAATGAAAGCAAAACATTATTAAATTTCAGCTAGATACTTTAGCCCATACTTTAAGCAATAGGTGAGGGGTGCTGATTAGCAAGGGAGATTTTAAAATATAGTCAGCCCAAAACATAGTTGAATGTTTTTATTGGGTGATATGCTTATTTTTGTGCAAGTTCTAAAACTGTAATGTTTTCTGTCTACAAATTCAGAGTGAAAAAAATAGATACAAACTTCTTTCCTAGTTTGCTTTAAATTATGAGGCTATTACACTGTCTTATCTCATAACTATCATAAAAAATACTTAGAATCTCCTTCCTATAAGATTATTCATAGAATTAATATTTGTCACAGCCCACAGTTAGTTATCCTTAGGGGTCAAATTTAAAGAATTTGGCATAGTAATTCAAGGTGTCTATTCATTCAAGAAACATTTAGTGAGCACCTTGCACATTCCATGTATTGCCCCAGGTGCTAGGGTTCAGGTATGAATAAGACAAAGTCCCTGTAATCAAGGAGTTTGCTACTAAGAGAGGATATGGACATGAAACAAGTCATAATTCAGAGTCAAAAGGATAATAAAGTTTAGAAAAGGGAGAGATTAACTGTTTAACTATCTGGGCTGGGCAGGATGGGGCAGGTTGTCAGGAAAATTGTCAGAAAAGATTTACACACACTCTCCAGATTATCTTTGCTTATTATATGATAATTTTTAACTGTGCATGTGCCAAGAGCTACTGGATATATTTCTCACATAAATGCCCCCTTACATATTTTTTTATAGAGTCTTTGTTTTATTCTAGTTGAAAGGTTCACTCATATTTGTTAGTAGTTTTATTTTTCTCCTGGGAGAAGCAGAGTTTTCAGTTAGAAGGAAACATTGTCTGGCTGGAGAACACTGTGATAGGAGTCAGGAAACTCTTGTCCTCTGATCATTATCCATGTGACCTTGTGAAAATCACAGTATTTCTGAACTGCAATTTCTTCTTTTAAAAAACGATGTTAATAAAAGCCAAAATGCTTTTATTATAAGTAGCCTAGAACTTCTATTTTTTGCATAATTTATAGTAAAAGGGAAAAATGCTTAACAGGAATAATTTAATTAAAAATAAATAAAATCTAAATTACAAAATGATTATCAGATAATTATGACTTAATATCAAACTTTCGATATCCAAAATAGCTATCTTAAGGGAAAGGATTCAATCCAAGTTTATTTCAGCTAATTTGAGGAAGAAATGTAGTCATTCTATAATAATGGCAAGCTACATAAATGATACATGGAGTATAAATGTACTTATTATAACAGGGAACAAACCTTTATAATTATATTTGATTCAAAATACATTGAGAAAAGTCTACTGAGTTATATACCAAACTACCAACAGTAGTTATATGTGAGGAAGTAAGTAGGTGGGTAAGTGGGGCTTGCATATGGCAAAGGTCAACTGATGATGAGCAGCTGGAGGGAAAGTGGGACAGAGATAAAGGCAGATTTTAACTTTTTATTCTGTATAATTGTGTTCTTAGAATTTTACGGTAACAATTTTTCATATATTATTTAGATAACTAAGACAAATTTTAAATTAGAAGACTCTGGGTTCAAAGAGATGGACTAAGCATCCACATTTATCTCTCTTTTTCACCAGCCTGTTGAAACAACACAATAAACATACAAAATGAATAGAACTATAACAATGCAAAGAACGAGGCATAGTCATCAGCTCGCAAAGGATTTCAATGAATTTCTAGGAAACAGTGGATTCAAGCAAGTCGATGGATAAAACTAGGGGAAATGCTGGATGTAGTGAAGCTGAAAGTTGAGCCCAGTGACTGAACTTCAGAGACCGGAAGCTGAAAGTGAGCACACACTGAGGCTAGCAGTGGGAACAGGACAGAACACAAGCGGTTTAACTGTGCAGCAACCTCTGCTGGTTACTGTATCCGGTTCCTGTCTCAACCACACAGCTTTCTTCTGGGTGTCTATTCACAGGTAAAATACTTCGTGCAGAGCAAGGGCAGAGGTCATCTCTAAGGCAATCCAATTAACTGCACATAAGCTTCCAGGGTACAGGTTGGTACTCCCAGATGAAAGCACTTATTTAGGCACTTAAGGATCCCCTTGGGGCTCGGTGCGGTGGCTCACGCCTGTAATCCCAGCACTTTGTTTGGGAGGCCAAGGTGGGTGGATCACAAGATCAAGAGATCGAGACCATCCTGGCCAACCTGGTGAAACCCCATCTCTACTAAAAATACAAAAATCAGCCAGGTATGGTGGTGCACGCCTGTAGTCACAGCTACTTGGGAGGCTGAGGCAGGAGAATTGCTTGAACCCGGAAGGCAAAGATTGCAGTGAGCCAAGATTGCCACTGCACTCCAGCCTGGGCGACAGAGTAAGACTCTGTCTCAAAAAAAAAAAAAAAAAAAAAAATCCCTTGCTCACCTCTGCTTACATAGTCTGAAAAGAAAGCTGCCCGTCAACAAGTTCTGCCCACAAACACAGACTTCTCATTTAGATGAGAAACATAGAAAAAACACTTCTGCTGACACAACAGTAGAAGAAAATGTACATTGACTACTAGCTTAATCAAACTGTGCCCTTTATTCTTAATCATGAAAAAATAATCAAGTTTCAGAAAAGTAAAGGATTTGAAGTTATCAAAGAAAGAATAAAAACTTACTAGAGTTGGAGATAAACGATTTTCAGATTGGAAGATCTCCTTGGTCCCTGAGCAAATGAATGAAAAGCCCACACCTAAAGACTTATTTGTAAAATTTCAGAATACCCATAGTAAAAATGAAAGTTCCAAAAATTCATCATAGCTTAAAAAGTTACGTCTCTAAAGACATTATAATCATATTGGCCTCAGACTTCATCAGCCACACTGAAAATTATTTTAAACTTAGAATACCCAAATTATCCATCAGGGAAGGGAATGGTAAGATGGCATTTTTATACATGCAAGAAATGTTAAAGTTTTTTTTTTCTACTCACAGCCTAACTCCTAGCCAGATAAACATAAAACTTACCTCAGTTACTTTTACCCAATACATCATGTCTGGCTTTCAACAAAAAAAAATTACAAAGCATGCTAAAATGAAAAAAAAAAAAATCACAGCTTGAAGAAACAGAGCAAACATTAGAACCAGATTTAGATATGGCAGAGATTTTAGAATTATCAGACTAGGGATTTAAAATAACTATGATTAACTTGCTAAGAGTTCTAATGGGAAAAAGGGGACAACATGCAAGAACAGATGGGTAACATAAGCAAAGAGATGGAAACTAAGAAAGAATCAAAAGGAAATGCTAGAAATAAAAACACTGTAACAGAAATAAAGACTGCCTTCTATGAGATCATCAGTAGACTGAATATGACTGAAGAAAGAATCAGTGAGCTTAAAGATACGCCAGTAAAAGAGTCCAAACTTAAAAGAAAAAAGAAAAATAGATGAAATCAAATGTCCAAGAACTGTGGTCCAATTACAAGAGGTGTAAATTGCATAATGAGAATTGCAGAAGGAAAAGAGAGAGAGAAAAGGAAGAAATATTTGAAGTTATAATGGCTGAGAATTTTCCAGAATTAATGACAGACACCAAACCACAAATCTACAAAGTGCAAAGAACATCAAGCAGAATGAATACTAAAAATTTGACAATAAACATGTCATATTCAAATGCAGAAAATCAAAGACAAGGAGAAAATCTTGAAGAAAGAAAAAGCAACCAAAAAAACCCAGGAAAATGAAAACTATGCAGAAGAGTCATGACTCTAAAATGTTGCTAACTAAAATGTGCAAGATTATGAGAAAATGTTGAAGTGTAAGAAAAAATGCTTCATTTGGCCTTGATGCCACACTCTTCCCCGAGGAGACAGAAATAAAAACTTATTATGATGTAATAAGTTTGTAACTTATTACAATTTTGATATAATGATGTAAACACTTTTTATTAATTTTCAGATTTAAGAATTAGCCTATAGAAATGCACAAGATTAATTATGATTACAAAATAAATTGCAAATGTTTTCAATTTGACAAATGTAGAGTTATAACTGCTAGAAGTTGAGTGATGGAAAGACAGTTGTGTGGAAAAGTTAGTGACTCTAAAACATCCATCTTACATATCAGGGATTCAAAGGAGAATATTGAAAGTGGATGTAAAATTGGCCAGGCACAGTGGCTCACGCCTATAATCCCAGCACTTTGGGAGGCCAAGGCAGGAGGATCGTTTGAGCCTAAGAGTTCAAGACTAGCCTGGACAACATGGAGAGACCCCATCTCTGCAAAAATACAAAAAAAAAAAAAAATAGCCAGGCATGGTGGCGTGCACATTTAGTCCCATCTACTCAAGAGGCTGAGGTGAGAGAATCACCTGAGTCAAGGAAGTCGAGGCTGTGACCACACCACTATACTCCAGCCTAGGTGACAGAGCAAGACCCTGTCTCAAAAAATAAAATAAAATAAAGTGAATGTCAAATAATAAATATATATGGATATTACTGCAAGTTAGAATGGGAACCAATAGGAAATTTTACAAATTAGAAGAAATGGAAAGAAGGAAAATGGGGCAAAGTGGTGGAAATTATGCAAGGGAGACAAATGCATTCCTTAGGAATGCAGGTAATGTCAGCAGCTCTTCTCTAGTGATCATAAATCAAAAAATAAAGGAATTATCATAGTATTTACAGTGATAAAGGTAATGACTAGAATAACTAGAAACAGATACAATTAAAATAATAGGTTGCCCGTGGTAAGTAGGTGTGAGAATAGGATGGAGTGAGGACAAAAAAAACTCATTATGTATTTAAAACTATTCTGTCTTTCTTACTTTGTAATATAGACATATATTTCTCTGATAAAAATAAAACTTTAATGATTTCAAAAAGAGAGTTTTAAAATAAAATTTTAAAACCTTTAATATTGTAAGAGTCGTTTCATGAGAAGCCCCGTAAAGATGGTTTTAAATGGGCCTCATACATCTAAGCTAGCAACACAGAACCCTACCAGAAAGGGTGATGCCCTTGGGTAGTCAGTCTTTTTACTAGAACTTCAAACGCCTGAAGAAGATAAAACAAACTTGACACATCGCTTAGCACAGTGTGTTCACTACTGAGAAAAAAGAAGCTGCCTATAAAGTAGTGAGAGAGGATGTCCCACAGTGAAAATACTTCTCAACAAAGAACACTAAGAGAGAAAGATTAACATAGGAATTTGCCCATCAGGATGAATAAAAGCCAAGAAAGAAAAAAGAAACCTGGAGATATGCAGTATAAAATTGTACTGTGGATTGTGCTACAACCGAAGCTATTATTCAAGCATCAAGAATAGGAAGATACTCAACATGCTTTAACTCTGAAAAAGTGGAAATATGTCACAAATTCACAATTATCAGTTAGTTATGGTAAGGGGACTAGTCTAATGCCTAGCCTTAAGTGGGCATTCAGGTTTGCCAATAGAAAAGAAAAAAGGGTTTAGAGTTCAAGGATCAAGATTCAAGTCTATGCTTTGCCACTTACTATGTATGGGACACTGGGCAACCCATGTAAGTTTTCTAAAATAGTTTTCTTTTTTGTCTGTATCTCAATTTCTATCTCTATCAGAAGTAATAAAGAATAATAATAATACTAGCATCAGCAAGGACAAAAATAACAACCATCCCAACTTACCTGCTATGTTTATTCTAAAGATAATGTGGGATATATACTTTACACTTGCCAAAAGCCATGCAAATATCAGTTCTGATAATTATCCTCCAGGAGCAGATTCCTTCTCCCTGAGAAAGGTAGGGAGACTGCTGTGACTGCTATCCCTACTCGATGACCACTGTGCTTCTATCCCTGCTGGGAGCCTAGTCAAATGGAGCTGGGGAGGACAAGAAGCTGAAGGAGATCATGGCAGCTACTTAATACTGCCAGATTAACCAATCAACTTCTATTAGGAAATTCTGAGGTATTAGATGTAAATCTTTCCTATAACTTGCCACTCATATCTGCAGGGTACTATGAAAATTATAAACAAACATGAATAATATAACTAATTTATCACTGTAGCATAGAAACTTTATAGTTGACAAAACATTTCTATGTATCCTTAAAGGTTTTAGAATTTTAATGACTGGTAGGCAGTTTTGATTAAAAGAAAAAATCTATTGCATAGAAAAAAATACATGAGATTGGGAAACAAGTTTTTAACATGTATTTGATAATAGATTTTGTAGAAGAAATTTTGTAACTGTTAACTTTTGGGTTTATGTCTATTTAGCAGCAATAAAATGTGTTGTCTATTTTTAGAAAACATGTGCCATTTGGCAGGACATTGGGAACACAAACCAGATAGTGAAACAAGTTCCATGCAGAGGGTTTATACTCCTGTGACCTTAAGAACTAATTGAGTCAACATTTTCATCTTGCTCCAGCAAGATGTCAGAAGAGAAAACTCCACCAATTATCCCCTGGGGCAAAAACACCAAGTCAACAACTATCTACACACACACACAAAATACCTTCATAAGAACCAAAAATTAGGTGAGCACTCATGGTACCTGGTTTTAACTTCATATCGCTGAAAGAGACACTGAAGAGATAGCAAAAATAGCCTTGAATCACTCATGCCATCCCTCCCCACCCCCAGCAGTGGAGGCAAGGTGCAGAGAGCATCTCTGGGCACTAGGAGAGGGAGAACACAGCAATTATAAGGCATTGAACTCAGTGCTTTCTTGTTAGAGCAGAAAGGAAAACTGGACCAAACTCAGTTAATGCCCACCCACAAAGGGAGCCTTTAAACCACCCCTACCCAGAGCGGAATCACCAATCCCAGTGGTCTGAACTTCACTGTGTGCAAACATTGCCACAGAGAGCCAAAGTGCCATCCCCTAACCCCGGGCTGCACAGTTCACAGCTCCAAAAGAGACCCTTCCCTCCACTCAAAGAGAGAAAAGGCAAGAGTAGGGAGGACTTTGTCCTGCATCTTGGATACCAGCTCAGCTACAGCAGTATAGGGCATCAGTCAGAGTCAGGAGGCTCCCATTTGAGGCCCTAACTCCCAGATGACATTTCTAGACACATCTTGGGCCAGAAGGGAACCAGCTACCTCGAAGGAAAGAACCCATTCCTGCCAGTATGCATCACCTGCTAACTGAAGAGCCCTTGGGCCCTGAATAACCAACAGCAACATCCCAAGTACTAGATCGAGGGCGTTGGTGAGCCTCTGAGACTTGCTGGCTTCAGGTGAGACCCAGCACATTATAGGGTATGGTGGCTACGGGGCAAAACTCCTCCTGCTTGAGAAAAGCAGAGGGAAAAGCAAAGGAGACATCTTGCACCTTAGGTACCAACACCACCACAGTAGAGCACTAAGCAGACTCTTGGGGTCCCCGGTTCCAGGGTTTGACTCTTGGACAGCAGTTCTGGACCTGCCCTAAGTCAGAGGAGAGCCCATTGCCCTGAAGGGTGAGTCCCAAGCCAGGCAGCATTCACTACAAGCTAACTTAAGAGACCTTGGGCCTTAAGGGAACATCAGTGGTAGTCTGGGAGTTCTCCTTGTGGCCAGGGTTGGCAGGGGCTATAGGGTGATACTCCTCTCTTTTTTGGAAAGGAGAGGAAACAGTGGGAAGAACTGCACCATGTAGTTTAAGTGCCAGCTGAGCTGCAATACAATAGAATACCAGGTATACTTCTAAGATTTTGTACTCTAGTCCCTGACTCCCGGATGACACTTCTGGACCCACCTGGGGCCTGGCAGACCTCACTTCCCTGAAGGGAAGGACAGAGACCTGAATGGCTTTACCACCTACTGATTGCAGAGCCCCAGGGCCTTAAGCGAACACAGGCATTAACTAGGGAGTGGGTACAACAGGCCTTGGGTGAGACCCAGCACTATGCTGGCTTCAGGTCTAACGCAGCCCAGTTGTAGTGGTGGTAAACACAGGGATGTTCGTGTCATCTCACCCCCAGCTTTTGGTAGCTCAGAACAGAGAAAGAGACCCTATATGTTTTGTAGAAAGTGAGGGAAGAGAACAAGAGTCTCTGCCTGGTAGTCTAGAGAATTCTCCCAGATCTTGCCCAAGACCATCAAGGTGTTATGCAAGAACACCTTGTATATCTAGGAGTCTGCAAGAACAACAGTGTTACTGGGCTTAGGGTGCCCCCTAAAGCAGAAACAGTTTAGATCACAACACGCAAGTCCTTTCAAATATCTGCAAAGCCTTCCCAAGAAGGACAGCTACAAATAAGCCAAGGCAGTGAAGACTACAATAAATACCTAATTCTTCAATGCCCAGACACCAAAGAACATCTACTAGTACCAGCACCATACAGGAAACCATGACTTCACCGACTAAACTAAATAAGGCACCAGGGACCAATCCTGGAGAAACAGAGATATGTAACTTTTCAGGCAGAGAACGCAAAATAATTGTGTTGAGTAAACTCAAAGAAATTCAAAATAACACAGAGAAGGAATTTAGAATTCTATTGGATAAATTTAACAAAGAGATTGAATAATTACAATGAATCAAGCAGAAATTCTGGAGCTGAAAAATTCCATTGGCACACTAAAGAATACATCAGAGTCCTTTAATAGCAGAGTAGATCAAGCAGAAGAAAGAATAGGTGAGCTTGAAGACAAGCTACTTGCAAATACACAGCCAGAAGAGATTAAAAAAAGGAATTTAAAAAGACAATGAAGCACACGTAGAGGAAATAGAAAATAGCCTCAAAAGGGCAAAACTGAGAGTTATGGGCCTTAAAAAGGAGGTAGAAAAAGAGACAGGGATAGAAAGTTTATTCAAAGGAATAGTAACAGAGTACTTCTCAAATCTAAAGATATCAATATCCAAGTACAAAAAGGTTATAGGACACCAAGCATATTTAATCTGAAGAAGACTATCTCAAGGCATTTAATAATCAAACTCCCAAAGGTCAAGAATAAAGAGAAGATCCTAAAAGCAGCAGGAGAAAAGAAACAAATAACATACAATGGAGCTCCAATACATCTGACACCAGACTTTTCAGTGGAAACCTTACAGGCCAGGAGAGAGTGGCATGACGTATTTAAAGTGCTGAAGGAAAAAAAAGTTTACGCTAGAATAGTATATCCCATGAAAACATTCTTTAAACATAAGAATAAAGAAAGACTTTTCTAGACAAACAAAAGCTGAAGGATTTTATCAACACCAGACCTGTCCTACAAGAAATGCTAAAGAGGGTACTTCAGTGAAAAAGAAAGGATGTTAATGAGCAAGAAGAAATCATTTGAAGGTACAAAACTCACTGGTAATAGTAACTACACAGAATATCAAAACACTGTGAATGTGGTGTACAAACTACTCTTATCTTAAGTAGAAAGACTAAATGATGAACCAATCAAATATAAGAACTACAACAGCTTTTCAAGACATAGCCAGTACAATAAGATATAAATAGAAAAAACAAAAATTTTAAAAGCTGGAGAACAAAGTTAAAGCGAATTTGTATTAGTTTATGCAAATACTGTTAAGCTGTTATAAGGTTAAAATACTGGGTTGTGGCTGGGTGCGGTGGCTCACGCCTGTAATCCCAGCACTTTGGGAGGCCGAGGCAGCGGATCACGAGGTCAGGAGATCGAGACCATCCTGACTAACACGGTGAAACCCCGTCTCTACTAAAAGTATAAAAAATTAGCCAGGCGAGGTGGTGGGCGCCTGTAGTCCCAGCTACTCGGGAGGCTGAGGCAGGAGAATGGTGTAAACTCTGGGGGGTGGAGCCTGCAGTGAGCAGAGATTGCGTCCCTGCACTCCAGCCTGGGCGACAGCGAGACTCCGTCTCAAAAAAATAATAATAATAAAAATACTGGGTTGCAAGATAGCATTTGCAAGCCTCATGGTAAACTCAAATCAAAAAACATACAATGGATACAGAAAAAAATAAGAAACAAGAAGTTAAATCATATCGCAAGAGAAAATCATCTTCACTAGAGGAAGACAGACAGGAAAGAAAGAGAGACCACAAAACAGCAGAAAA